>NW_017852932.1:0-265876 GCF_000001405.40 Homo sapiens | reverse complement strand
GAATTCTTGAACCAAAGTCACCCATAAGAGAGTCTTGCATTTTGCCAAATGGATCCGTGTTAATGACCTTGCTGTGCTCAGCTGCTGGCTGGAAACAGCCCGTGGGAAGTGTGAACTCAATATGAATGTGATGGTGGGTCCCAAGGGGTGAGCTGAGACGGTGAGTCCATTGTGCTTCTCACAGCAGAGATCTGAGCCTTGCAGTTTTCATGGACACCCCTAATGTTTTCATGGAGTGAGAGAGACAGAAGGCACTCAGTAAGCATAAGAAATGAATGAATAAATAGATAAAGGTATGATAGAAGCCTGTAAGTATTATGCAAAACCCGAGGTGGCACGGAGAAGGATTGGGAGTGCCAGGATGGGGAGGGCTGCAACTGAGGTAAAATGGGAGGGTAGGTCTCATTGAGAAGGAGACGTTCCAGCCCAGTCCTGAAGGAGATGAGGGAGTTAGCTACATGGCTGTCTCAGGGAGGAGTGTTCTATGAAGAGAGAAGAGTGAAAAGGCCCTAAGGTTGCAGCATGCCCCACTGTGTGAAGAACAGCAGTGGAGCTGGAGTGGAGAGGGCCAAGGGGAGATTGGGAGGAGAGGGTGTCTCCCAGGAGGGGTGTGCCCGTAGGCCATTACATGAGCTTAACTCCTCTGAGTGATGTGAGCAGATGATGGAGAGTTTGGGCAGGGGAACAATGTGGCCTTAATGTTTTAAAAGCACCGATATGGCTTTTAAATCAGAACATATTCTAGGCAGCTAAGATGGAAGACTGGAGACCAGTTGGGACATGAGGACATTGACTCAGGTAGGAGATGAGGGTGTCAGTGGAAGTGATGAGGAATCAGGGGTGATATGGTTTGAATTTGTGTCCCCACCCAAATCTTACATCTAATTATAATTGCCAATGGTGGGAGGTGATTGGATCATAGGGATGTATTTCCCTTGGTTGTTCTCATGATAGTGAGTGAGTTCTCACAAGGTCTGGTCGTTTAAAAGTTTGTAGTGCCTCCCCCTTCTCTTTCTTCCTCCTGCTCTGGCCATGTAAGATGAGCCTGCTTCCCCTTCACCGTCTGCCATAATTGTTAGTTTCCCGAGGCCTCCCAGCCATGCTTCCTGTACGTCCTGCAGAACTGTGAGCCAATCAAACCTCTTTTCTTTATAAATTACCCAGTCTTGGGTATTTCTTTATAGCAGTATGAGAAGAGACTAATACAAGGGGCCAGGCTGGGTGTGGTGGCTCATGCCTGCAATTGCAGCACTTTGGGAGGCTGAGGTGGGCGAATTGCTTCAGCCCAGGAGTTCAAGAACAGCCTGGGCAACATGGCGAAAATCTGTCTCTATAAAAAATACACACACACACACACACACACACACAAATTATCCAGGCATGGTGGTGTACACCTGTGGTACTAGCTACTTTAGAGGCTAACTGAATCCAGAGGATCACCTGAGCCCAGGAGGTCAAGGCTGCAGTAAGCCATGATCGCACCAGTGTTCTCCAGCCTGGGTGACAGAGTGAGACCCTGTCTTAAAAAAAATAAATAAATAAAATAAAAAAAAAGAAATATATATATGTATCTCATATCCCCATAAGATTCTGAATGTATTTTGAAGGAAGAGCTAACTGGACATCCTTATGGACTGGTGAGAGAAGGAGGGGAACCAAGGATACCGCCCACAGTTTTAGCCTGAATAATGAGAGTAAATTAGGCCAATACCATAAAAAAAAGAACATAGAGCATTCAGACCAGCAGAGGGAAGTTTTATCTATCCAGTGGAAAAAAGGGAAGAAGGAAAAACAAGTATGAAAATGTGAAATAAGAAATGTGAAATAAATAGCAAACATAATTCTTAATATAACATCAATTTATAGTAATATAAATGAGTTAAAATCATAATTCAAAATATAGAGACTTAAATTGGATTAAAAACACAAGACTTAAGAATACACTTTCTGCAAGATACACAACAAGAGATTGGAAATAAAAGGGTAAAAGAAGAAATAGCAAGCAAACATGAGCCAAAAAATTTTATAAGAAAAAAAAGGGAGGAACGTTATATTCCAGTAAAAGGAATAAAGGATCATAAGTCTATAAAATCATGAAAAATATATACACACCTAGTAAGATAGCCTCAAATATGTATGTGTGTATATTTATACACATGCACATACATATAAAAAGTAGCTGTAGAAACAGAGAAAAATAGATAAATCAACCATTTTATTTGAATATTTTAACATATTTCTCTCATAAGTTTATAGAGCAAGGAAACAAAATTTATTAAGTATACAGAAGATTTGAACAACTTTTTAATAATCTTAAATGTGTGTGTACAATTATGTGCAAATATGTAATTTAAACATAACGGAAAATGCATTTTGATTATACGTAGAACATTTACAAAATTGGCCATAAATCAGAGCACAAAAACAGCCTCAATAAATTCCACAGGACCAATATCATACGCATCTCACAGATAGTGTTTGTATTTAGTCCATCTTAACACTGCTCATAAAGACATACCTGAAACTGGGAACAAAAAGAGGTTTCACTGGACTTGCAATTCCACATGGCTAGGGAGGCCTCAGAATCATGGTGGGAGGCGAAAGGCACTTCTTACATGATGGCAGCAAGGGAAAAATGAGGAAGAAGCAAAAAGGGAAAGCCCTGATAAACCCATCGGATCTCGTGAGACTTATTCACTATCACGAGAGTAGCATGGGAAAGACTGGCACTCCTGATTCAATTACATCCCCCGGGTCCCTCCCACAACACGTGGGAATTCTGGGTGATACAATTAAAGCTGAGATTTGGGTGGGGACACAGCCAAACCATATCACTGTTCTCTGACCAAAATGCAATGAAACTCCAAATCAGTTAAAATCCAAAGACTGTGTGTCTAGAAACAAAAATGACAATACTAAACAGTCTTTGGATTAAAGAAGAATTAATAAAAACAGTCACAAAATATTTAGGATTAAATGAATGAACAAGCCACATGGCAAAAGTTGTGGGACATAGATCAAGCAGCTTAGGAGAGAAGGGATAGCCTTAAATACATCATTAAGAAGATAAAGAATATCTTAAACAAAGGGGCTAAGTGCTTATCTCAAGAGGCTGGAAAAGTAGCAACAGAATAAGCTTAAAGAAAAAGAAGGAAATCATAGACATAAAGGCAGACATAAATGAATAGCAAATGACAACAAAGAAATCACGGAAGCTTAGCAAAGCTGAATGTAGGTCTTTTGAAAAGATTAATAAGATAGACAAACCACTGTTAAAAGTGGTTGAGAGAAAAAGAAATAAGACAGGATTAAAAAAGGAAAATGACAGACACAATAGATGTTTAAATATTCAAATAATCTTACAAAAATATTATAAAGTACCAGTACATTTTAAAAATTAGATGGATTGGATATTTTCTGAAAAAAATGAGAAATGCCAAAATTGGCAAAGAATAAATAAAAAACCCAAACAGACCAGTAATGAGTAAAAAAATTAAAATCCTAGCCAGTCCCTGCCTTTAAAGAACTAGGCCCATATCCCTTTACAATTAAATCCTACAAAGCATTTATAGAGAAAATAATCCTCATCTTGCAGAAGCTGTTCCAGAAAATAGAAAGAGGAAAAAAGTGGTCTGATCCATTTAATGAAGCTAATTTAATTGTTACTCTTAAACTAGACAAGGAAAGGAGTAAAAAATGATAGGCCCATTTCACCTGCAAAAATAGATGAAAACAATACTAAATAAAGCATTAGCTAACTGAATCCAGTCATGTCGGTGGGTTTCCGGGAAGAATGCAGGGCGGTTTAACAGCAGAAAGTCTGGCAATTCACCACATTAGTGGACCAAAGGAGAAAAAAAACATCGTATGATTATCCCAGGAGTTGCATAAAAAACATGTGATGAAGTTCAATATCTGTTTATAATGATAATAATAAAAATGACAAGGTTCAACACCTGTTTATAGCAATAATTATCATCCTAAAACATTTCTCAGGAAACTAGAATTAGAAGAGAACTTCCCCAACTCTAGCAAAGCTGCTTACCCCAAACCACAGCAAGTCCCACTGAATGGAGAAACGTGAGCTTCACTGTTTTTATTTTTTAAGAAGAAACCACATGCACATCGGGGTCTGTCTGGCCTCACATCTCACGCTCTTCCTCCTCTGCTGTTTTCCATCAAGTAGGGTCAAAGACTGAGGCATAGCAGGCTCTAGGAATTTTCTCTGGAGCAAGGTCTTTTTGGTTGATTATAATAGAAACTCACTTAAATCAATTCTGTGAAAAGTGGGAACTTGACGGTAGATATGACAAGGCCAAAAGTATTTAATGATGTCTTCTTAGGCTGTAAGGAGTCTTGCTGGTACCTCACTGATGAGCAGGAACCTGCTTATCTTGCCGGTGGTTCCAAATGGCACCACTCAGTACTCCAGGGACAAATGAATGGGTCACTCTGTTTTGCTCCTCAGTTTTTGGAGGTATAGGGAGAAGGATGGTGGATTCCATGAGAGAAAGGCTGTGGCCCTCCATAGTGTGGACAGTAATCCTCATGTGTGGATAGGATTACTAGGAAGAGGAAAATTTTATAAATTTTTGCAGGTATTAGGTGCAGCCTCTCCTCCCCTAGTTCCTCAAGAGGATCTTCAGTCAAGAGCTATTTTTTAAATCTCTAGACTTTTTAGTGTTAGCTATGTGACGTCTGTTTTTTTCTTCCAATGTGTTCTTATAATAAAGGAAGAAACACAATGCCACACTTTATTCAGGTCACATAAGAAGACAGGATCTCACAGTCCCAAATCAGAAGTAGGCTTCATGCCCCACTTTCTGTGCCTCCTCCTCTGGGTGCTCAGTTCTTCTCATCCATTGACTGGCCTTGCTCTCGTGTTCCTGTTCTCTGTTTCATTTCCTTCTCCCTCTTGCTCTCGCTCTCCCCTCAATTCAACTCCTCTGGATCTATGAAAATTTGAGGTTGATGAAACAATTATCCTGTGCAAAGTGCATGAAAATTTTACATCCTTAATTCAAAGGAGAAACAGAGACTGGCTGGTGCCTCTTACACTCAAGTTCAAAATCTTGTAAGACAATCTCTGATTTCCCCAGCCTGGGTCAGGTGTCCATCCAGGTCTAATTGGTTTCTGGCCAGAAATAGGGCATTGAGGAAGGGTGGAGACAGGGTCCCAGGAACAAACATAGCTATTAGGGGACCATGTCTGTAGGTAGGACTGGCTCTCAGAAAAGAGAAGTGTGGGTTGGCTGGACTTCCCAAGTGAACTCTGCACCTGTCTGCACAAAAAGTACAAAGTTTTCTTAAAAGCCAGACCCTGGCCAGAGAGGGTAACACATGACTCTGCAAATGAGCTGGTCCAGGACAGTTGCGGGTATGACACTGACCATACAGAAGCAGTGTTCAGCTGTCAGCTGGGTGATTTCTGAGGACAGGGAGCTAGTTCTAACTAGCAAGAGGAAAAATAGAGAAGAAAAGAATTCATAACAGCTTGACACCCTCCAGGCTGAACCCAGCAATTTTATTTTTACTTGTTCAGGAGGGGGAAAAGTCATCACTAATTCCACAATTACTTCATTCCAGAGTACTGGTGAAAAATGACTTCAAGTGTAAAATATTGTCTACTAAAGAATTAACTTAATAGATAATTTGGATTCAATTATTGGCTCAATACTGAAATTTTCTGGGAAAAGTGCAGGCAATATTTTATGACTGTCACATGATGCAGCAATTGTGAAATTAGTTATTAATGACTTATGAGAGAGATACTTAAAAAAAGTCAACGGGGGAAGGAAATACATCACTTAGGCGTTTATAGGGCAGGCTAAGATGGGGGATTCTTTCTCCTCCATTTCTCAAGCAATTCCAATTTTGCTGACCGAGCCTCTTGCCTTGGCTCTGTCCTTCCTCTCCCCATGTGTGTGATTTGGGGTTGGAGTCATACATGAATTCTTTGGGAGCAATTAGAAACTGAAGGTTGCTGCCATCCATCATGGCCAGGGGGACGCCATTTCTGTTCGCCCTGAGAGTTGGGTGCTGACCTCTCCCCTCTGCTCCTGGCCATTGATTATCTCTAGCCAGCAATGTGTGAGCACCAAATGAACTTTTAAAACCAGAATGAACTGCAGGCAGTTTATGACCATTACTTCCCACCTATAACCTGCTTGCTAGTCAAAGGGGAAATTTTTTTGAAGTCCCCTGGATTCACTTTGGGGGTGGGTATGATATACTTTCATTAGTGCCTTTAAAGTTGCTGCTGAGGCTACCTTCTAAATTCAATGTAAATGACATTTGTTCATTCTTCCCACAGTACTTATTGAGCTTCTGTTCCAGCCCAGCACTGTGCTAGAGCCTGCAGGGAATGGGAGATGCAGAAGACATGCTCTTTGCTCACTTAGAGCCTCGAGCCTAAGCGGTGAACTACGATGAATCAATGCAGTGACAGTACTATTTAGGACAGGGAAACTGCCCAGTTGAGTGGCAGATGCAACATGTGTCCCATAGAGTGAGATGTTGGGGATAGAAGGTCCTTGCCAGAAGAGGAGTGTGGGAGGTCCAGATTCTGACATTGAGCCAAGAGCAGTATGAAGGGGCAGCTCATTAATTCAGCAAATACTGAGTTAGGTCTACTAGGTGCCAGAAGAACTCCACAGGGCTCTAGGTGTCAGGGACATAAAACCACAAAGTAGACTAATGCTTTTTGCAATTCATTCTAGGCAACAAACATCACATACCTAACACCAAAAAACCCAGAGATTGAAAAAATAGCTCTTGACTGAAGGTTCTCTTGAGGAACTAGGGGAAGATAGGCTGCACCTAACACCTGCAAAAATTTCTAAAAGTTTCCTTTTTCTAGTAATCCTATCCACACATCACGATTACTGCCCATACTGTGGGGCATCACAGCCTTTCTGTCATGGAATCCACCATCCTTCTCCCATATCTCCAAAAACTGAGGAGCAAAACAGAGTGACCCATTCATTTATCCCTGGAGTATTGAATGGGTGCCATTTGGAACCAGCAGCAATGAATTAAATGAGTGAATATGTGTGTTTTGGGGTGGAGGGAGATGACCAATAATCAATACATGTTTAATAGGCACATCATCTAGTATACTAGAAGAAAATAGGTGCTGCAGAAAAAAACGCAGTGGGGTCAGGTGAACCGGAGACATGTACAACAGTGGGTGGGAGGGAACAATTTAAAATATGGTAGCTGGGGCTCACCGAGAAGATATCTGAGTAAATATTTCAAGGAAGAAGTGAGGGCTTTCGTCTATGAATCTCTGGAGAGAGATCTTTTTAGGCAGAGAAACATCCAGGGGACGAGATGCAAAACGGGAGTGAATTGGTGTGTTGCAGAAATAGCAGTAAGGTCGTGTGGCTGTGGGAGTGAGTGGAGAGATGAGGTTGGAGATGTGATGGGGGCAAGATCGTGTGCTAGGGTCTTCCAGGTCATTGTAAAGACTTGTGTCCTTTTTCTGAGTGAAATATGGAGTCACTGGAGGATTCTGAGCTGAGCAGTGGTATGATCTGAATAATGATTTCAAGGGATCCTTTTGCCTGTTGTATTGGGACTAGACTACAGGGGGCAAATATGTAATCTGGGAGATCAGTTAGGAAGTTAAGACAGTGAGCCAGGTGACAGAAGTCCTGTGTGTAGCAGTGGAAGTGGTCAGATTCTGGATGTATTTTGAAGGTGGTGTTGATAGGTTTTGCTGGTGGAGTGTGTGGTGTGAGAGAAAGAGAGAATTTCAGATGGGCTCCAAGGCTCCCCTTTATCCCCAGTAAACTTTGGGTTGAAATATGCACCCACAGAAGGAACTGTGCCATCTCTATGCAAGACCACATCCCTGCTAGGCTCTCTTCTGGTGATATGGTTTGGATGCCCCACCCAAATCTTATGTTGAGTTGTAATCCCCCATATTGGAGGTGAGGACTCGTGGGAGTTGTTTAGATAATGAGGGCAGATCCCTAACGATAGCTTGGGCTATCCCCTTGGTGATAAGTGAGCTCTCGCTCTGAGTTCTTGCGAGATCTGGTCATTTAAAGGTGCATGACACCAGTCCTGCCACCTGACTTTCTCTCTAGCTCCTGTTCTGGCTATGTGATGTGCCTGTGCTCTCATTGCCCTCTACCATGATTGGAAGCTTCCTGAGGCCTCCCCAGAAGCACTATGTTTCCTATATATCCTGCAGAACCATGAGAAAATTAAATCTCCTTTCTTATAAATTACCCAGTCTCAGGTATTTCTTCATAGCAGTCCAAGAATGGCTTAACATAGAAAATTGGTACTGAGGAGTGGAGAATTGCTATAAAGATACCTGAAAATGTGGAAGTCACTCTGGAGCTGGGTAATAGGCAGAGGTTGGAAGAGTTTGGAAGGTTCCGAAGGAGACAGGAAAATGAGAGAAAGTTTGGAACTTATTAGAAACTGGTTAAATGGTTGTGACCAAAATACTGACAGTGATATGGACAGTGAAGTCCAGGCTGATGAGGTCTCAGACAGAAATGAAGAACTTATTGGGAACTAGAGCAAAGGTCACATGTGTTATGCCTTACCAATGAGCTTGGCTGGATTTTGTCCATGCCCTAGAAATCTGTGGAAGTTTGAACTTCATAGTGATGATTTAGGGTATCTGGTGGAAGACACTTCTAAGCAGCAAAGTGTTCAAGAGGTGACCTGGCTGCTTCTAACAATCTATGCTCAATGTGAGAGCAAAGGAATGAGTTAAATTGGAAACTTATATTTAAAATGGAAGCAGAGCATAAAAGTTTGGAAAATTTGCAGCCTGGCCATGTGGCAGAGAGAGAGAAAAAAAAAGCTTTTTCAGGAGAGGAATTCAAGCAGGCTGTGGAGCAACCACTTGCTAGAGATATTTGCATAACTAAAAGAGAGCCAAGTGCTAATATCCAAGACAGTGGGGGAAAAGCCTTGAAGCCATTTCAGAGACCTTCCTGGCAGGCCCTCCCATCACAGGGCCAGAGGCCTAGGAGGGGAGATTAGTTTTTTTGGGCCAGGCCCGGGGCACTGCTGCCCTGAGGAGCCTCAGTACAGCACTCCCTGCATCCTGGCCACTCTGGCTTCAGCCACAGGGCCCCAGATACAGCTTGGGACATTGCTTCAGAGGGTATAAGCCATGAGCCTTGACAGCTTTGTTGTGGTGTTAAGTCTGTAGGTGCACAAATGCAAGAATGAAAGAGGCTTGGGAGCTTCCACCTAGATTTCAGAGGATGCATGAGACAGCCTGGGTGCCCAGGCAGAAGCCTGCTACAGAGGCGAAACCTTCACAGAGAACCTCTACCAGGGCAATGCAAAGGGGAAATGTGGGGTTGGAGCCTCCACACAGAGTCCCCAATAGGGCACTGCCTAGTGGAGCTGTGAGAAGGGGGCCACTTTCTCCAGACCTGAGAATGGTGGATTCACTAGCAGCTTGCACCCTGCACCTGGAAAAACTGCAAGCACTCAACTCCAGTCAGTAAGGGAAGCGATGGTGGCTGAACCCTACAAAGTCACAGAGGTGGAGCTGTCCAAGACCTTGGAAGCCCCCTTCTTGCACCAGTGTGCCTGAGATGTGAAACATGGAGTTAAAGGAGATTATTTTGGAGCTTTAAGATTTAATGACTGCTGTCCTGGGTTTTGAACTTGCATAGGGCTGGTAACCCCTTTCTTTTGGCCAATTTCTTCCTTTTGAGATGGGAATGTTTACCCAATGCCTATACTCCCATTGTAGCTTGGAAGTAAGTAACTTGTTTTTGATATTACAGGCTCATAGGTGGAAAGGCTTACCTTGTCTCAGATGAGACTTTGAACTTTTGAGTTAATGCTGGAATGAGTTAAGACTTTGGGGGACTGTTAGGAAGGCATAATTGTATTATTGTAATATGAGAAGGACATTTGTATTTGGGGGGGCCAGGGGTGCAGTAATATAGTGTGAATGTCCCACTCAAACCTCGTGTTGAATTGCAATTCCCAATGTTGGAGGTGTTTGGATCATGAGGGTGCATCACTTGTGAATGGCTTGGGCCATCCCCTTAGTGATAAGTGAGCTCTTGCTCTGAGTTCTTGTGAGATCTGGTCATTTAAAGTGTTTGGTACTTCCCCTCCCTCACCTCTTGTTCCCATTCTCACCATGTGATGCACCTGCTCCCTCTTTGCCTTCTGCGATAATTGGAAGCTTCCCAAGGCCTTCCCAGAAGCAGATGCTGCTATGCCTCCCATACAGCCTGTAGAGCCATGAGCCAATTAAACCTCTTTTCTTATAAATTACCAGTCTCAGATTTTTTTTAATAGCAGTGCAAGAATGGCCTAACATACCTGGCCTGCCTACTTTCCTCACCCCACTTCTCCTGAGCATATCCCCTCAATAAGCTATTCCACAAGGACCTCCATCTCAGGCTTTACCTCTAAGGAGCTCGGAGATGATAAACTTTCACAAAAGTAATACATTCATGTAACCATCACCCAGATCAAGAAATTGAAACACTGCCAGCTCTCTGGAAGTCCCCTGGTGCCTCTTCCCAAAGATTGTCATCAATCTGAATTATAAAACCATAGATTAGTTTTGTCTGCTTTTAAACCTTATTTATTTATTTATTAGAGACAGAGTCTTGCTCTGTCACTCAGGCTGGAGTGCAGTGGTGAGATCATGGCTCACTGCAGCCTTAAACTCCTGAGCTCAAGTGAATCTCCTTCCTTAGCCTCCTGTGTAGCTGGGGCTACAAGGGTGCACCACCACGCCCAGCTAATGCTCTTAAATTTGATATAAATGCAATAATACAGTATGTACTCTTTTGTGTCTGGCTTCTTTCACTTGAGATTATGGCATTCATTCATAATGTTGCTTGTCATGGTAATTCATTCTCCTTCATTGTTGTATAGTATTGAATTGTGTGAATGTACAATGCTTTCTTATCCAATTTAATGCTGATGAGCATTTTGGATTGTTTCCAGGTTTTGGGTATTACAAATAATAATCCTGTTAATATTCTTCTTGTATGTGTGTTTTGCTGCACATATGTAGGGTGTGTAAGGATGGAATTGCTAGGTCATAGCTGAAAAAATATGTTTAGTTTTTTTTTTTTTTTTTTTTGAGATGGAGTCTTGCTCTGTTGCCCAGGCTGGAGTGCAGTGGCACTATCTTGGCTCACTGCAACCTCTGCCTCCCGCGTTCAAGTGATTCTCCTGCCACAGCCTCCCGAGTAGCTGGGATTACAGGCGTGTGCCACCACATCCAGCTAATTTTGTATTTTTAGTAGAGATGGGTTTCTGCTAAGCATTTTTTCACAGTATTTGTCCTAATTACCCTGCTGCCAACATGTATGAGTATTCCAGTTGCTATACATAATTGGTAACATTTGGTATTGTCTGTTCTTTTTATTTCAACAATTCTGCTGGTATTTTAGCAATTCTGCTGGCAGTGTTTCACTATGGTTCTAATTATTGATTCCCTGATGATGAAAAAAGATTGAGCAGATTTTCATGTATATTGACCATTTGGAAGTGTTAACTTTTATAAAAATGCCTGTTCATGTCTTTTTTCCATTGAACAAAAATTGGGTTGCCTTTTTTTTGTTGATTTTTAGGATTTCATTGTGTATTCTGGACACAAGTCCTTTGATTATATACAACACAAATATAATTTCTCAGTTGGGATTGCCTGTCACTTTCTGAATGGTATTTTTTTTGTGGACAGAAGCTCTTATTTGTAATGTTATTATTTATTTCCTTTCGGGTTAGTAGATTTTGTATCCTGTTGAAGAAATCTTTGTTTAACTCATGATCCTGAAACTGTTCTACATATTTTTTTCTAGAAGCTTTATAGTTCTAAGGTCTTTGACCTGAGCAACTGGAAGGATAGAGTTGCTATCCACTGAGATAGGAAGATGGGGAGTATCAGTGTCTGAGTGGGGCTGTGGGGAATTCAGGTTGGGATATGTTAAGTTCGAGGTAAATATTGAACATCGAAGTGAAATTTCATATAGATGATTGGATCGATGAATTGGGAGTTCAGCAGTTAGGTTGTCATGAACACAATACTAAAACAGTATTAGAGAGGATGCCAAACACTGAGCTCCCAGGCTTGGCCATGTTAAGAGTTCTGGATGAAGAAGAACTGGAAAAGGAGACTGAGAGAGCCAAACCAGCAAAATGGGAGAACAGCGAGAAGACTGTGGTGTTCTGGAGGGCTGGTGAAGAAAGTGTACGTGGGAGAAGGGTCAGTGCTGTGTTGAATGTCGTGGACATGTCATGTAAAATGAGGACTGGAAATTGCACCTTGGATTCAACAACAGGGAGATGACTGGTGACATGATAAGAACAGTTTTGGAGGAGGGTGGGGAGGAAAGGCAGATTGGAGGAGGCCCAGAAGAGAAATGACTGGATTAAGAAGTCTGCTGCTGGTAGCTATGACTCTGTGAGAGCCCAGGCCAGGCATCAAGAGTGTAGAAGGGAGGGAGCTGCTAGTCCCAAGTGAGAGCAGCAGACACAGGAGTGAATCCGATAATCCTGCCAGACCCCAGAGCTGTTTTAATGAGCCAGCCCAGGTAGGTGGGTGCTTGCTGAGGAAGAGCTCCTGAGCAGACCCATGGGGGCTTGGAAGGGAGAGACAGCTTTATGGAAGTCCTGGGCCATGTCGAGTTCATAGGCACAGCACATAGTGCTCTCTATGCATTTCCCAGCTCATTTCCCCCTTTTGTTTCCTCCCTCCCGCTTCTTGTTCCTTCAGTGCAGAACTTTCAGCTTGGGGGTCCCTATTGCATCAGCTGTCCACATGTCAGGGTCTTCATTTAGTCTGTTTCCTATCCTAGAATCTCCCCCACGGCTTCCTCCTGACTGATTCCTACGTATCCTTCTCGTCTCAGTCAGGAAACACATCCTCTGGGAAGTCTTCCATGACCGTTTAACATCTAGCATCTGCCTCCGTGGCATTCCTCTAGGTGAGTTCAATGGTCTCTTTATCTGTGTATCTATAGCACTTGATGATGACCTTCTTATGGGCTGTGTCTCATGCTTATCCATTTCCGTCTCATGCACAATGACTGGCATAGGGTCCTCACAGGGTTTTAGCAGGGGGACTATGGAGGCCTTTGCATTAAGTGCAGGATGTGGACGGGCTACCAGGAGGGAGAATGGTATTCCGGGAGGAGAACAGTGTGAGCAGTGACTCAGCAATGCAGCCGTGTTGATCAGGGCATAGGTGGGAGCCTGAGAGCCAGGCCTGGCTGACGGTTTGAGGTGAGACTAGAAAGAGACAGTGATGGCTCAGTGGGTGCCGGCCACATCGGAGAGGCAGCAGGTGCGTGTGTACTTGCAAATGTAGCCGTTGAAGAGAGAAATTATGGATATCAAATCAAGCTAATTTACATGGATAAGTGCAACCAGTGAGGCTTGGTTTGTGGGAGCTGATTTATTTAGGGCAGGAGGAGATCCGGCAGGGAGCTCCCCTCAGGTGAGCGAGCGGCGGTGTGGCCACCAGTATAAATAATCCAGCTGTCAGCCCGAGTTAAAGCCTCTGTTACTCTGTTTACTGCTGGAGGAGGAAGCACCAGGGCTGTTTCAGAAACATTTTTTAGAGAGGTGGACCTCTCCCTTTTTTCTTTTCCTGGAACACTGGAGGACTAATCTTTTTTAAAGCAAGCTTGATTGCTTTTAATTCTAATTATAAAAGTGAAATGTGTTTAGTATAGAACATGTGAAAAATACAGAATGGTGTAAAGACAAGAATTAAAATAACTCTACGTCTACTGCCCAGAGATAACCACTATAAGCATGTTAAAAAATTTCTTCCAGTCTTTTTCTATGTTTAAGTGCAATTTTAATAGTATTCCAGCCTATGTTCTAATTTTTTAAAATTTAAGATGATATTTTTATCCTTTTCCTATCCCACTGATAGAAGATGACTGGAATAGTCTACCTTGTGGATGCACTGTACTTTATTTAGTCAGTCCTCAGTTAGTGGATGTCAGAACTATTTTCAATTTTTTGTTGTTATCAATAGTACTACGCAAAAAACATTGTTTATGAGTCATTGTCTATATCCTGGATTATTTAGAATAGCTTTCTAGAAGTCAGACTTTTCTTGCATATTGTCAAATTACTTTCCAGAACATTTGAGTGGGTGTGGACTTTTTTTTTTGTTTGCTGCTATAATCAATTTATACTCCTATTGGAGATCATTGGGAATGATCATCTCATGGCACTGGATATTACTATTAAAAATGTTTGATGGCCATTTGTATTTTTATGTAGTAATCTATATTCTTTGTTTTAATTTTTTTTTGTTGCTAAGTCTGATCTCTCCATATAACATAAAAAGGATAGTTTAATTATATCCTTATTTTATTTTATTCCCGTGTATAATTTGCCTTTTTGTTTACAATGGGGTTTTTGACATGCGCAGACTTTAATTTTACATGTAGAAAAATTTCTTTCTCTTTCTTGCCCTTATGCTTAGACAGTATTTTCTACTACAAATAGTAATTTAAGATATAGGCAAAGACTTAGAAAAAAATGTTTTTTTTTTTTTTTGCTGTAGGATTATTGACAAGAACAAATTAATGATTTACTTACATCTATTTTACTTATTTTATGATTTCATATGATTTATGAATGATAAAATTAATCCATCTGATGTTTACTTTGATGAAAATTATTTGTTTTCAATTATTAACCACATACTTAACCAAATGTCCCAAATAATCTTTTTCTGGGTGCTTACTGATGACCTCTATTTAAAAAATAAATTTGTATATATGTGTCATTCATTTACATACTTGAATTTGTCTGTGAACTACATATCAATTTTCTCATCAGCTCCATGCCATTTAATTGCTGTAGTTATAGTCAGTTTTAATACTTGTCACAGCAAGTTCCTTGTATTACCCTTATTTTAATAACGCTTTTGGGAGATTATTGTATCTTGATTTTTACTGATGACCATTTGAATCACTTAGTTAAACTTTAAGGAAAAAAAGTTTCCCCTGGCATTTTGATTGGAGTTATACTAAATTTATAAAGTGTTATGTGAAGAACTGACTTCTTTACAAGATTCAGCTTTCCCACCCACAGGTATACTCTCTTTACTCAAGTTTTCTTTTGATAGGGATTGTTATTTTATTTATACAGAGTTGGGGGCCAGCCTGGTTCACCTGGAAGATGGGAACAGGGAACAGATGTGCTGGGAAGGCAGAGAGAGGCTGGGTAGCAGCTTGTCCCCATCTGTCCTTGCCTTTGACCCTACCTCTCTCCCCAGGAGCCCCACGTGGAGCCTCCTAAGTGGGGCACACTGGCTTCTGCCCAGAGGCTCAAGGCTGCCCATGCCTGATCTGGAAGCCTATAGCAGCCATGCTTCTCTTTCTAGATTGTTTTTGCTGCTCATGTCTTATTTCCACTCTCTTCATTTCTGATGATTTATCTGGCTTTGGATTTATGGTTTTGCATAGCTCTGGGGAGACAGGCGGAGAGCAGATACTCTTTCATGGTGGAAGAATATTACCATAGGTGTGAGGCTTGATTGGGTACACAGCCTGTTCAGCTGGCGAATGCAAGGCCTCATGGCTCAATATGATGCCCAGCAAGGATCTCTTGGCTCTCAGTGCCACGTAACACAAATCAAGAACCCACTTTATTCCCTGGCCACAGTCTATCATCTAAATGTTTGGGCGACCCTTTTGGCTTCTCTATCTTGAGATAAAGCCAGAGTTGTACCTCTTAGCATTTGTATGTGTGATGTGTGTGTGTGTGTGTGTGTGTGCGCGCGTGCATGTGTGTGTTTTGGCTTCAGAAGCTCTGTCTAGACAGCCTGAAACTTTGAGCCTGGATATCCTCTGGTTCTCACCCTTCATTACCTGCACCGTTTCTTTCCCTAGCTACGTTCTCTTTGAGTCTTCCTGGAGCAAAGAGGTCAGTCTCACTGGAGCTGAGGGCTTGGATTGGAAGGGAAGAGTAATAAGTTGGACACATTGGGTGCAAAGGTCATTCTGGTCCTGGAGGTTGTCTCGAGACAGAGGATGGTTCCAGGGGGCATCCAGGGGCTCAAATTTCAATCCTGGAATTCCAGGTGGACAAGATCTTAACTTGTCAATTTGATTAGACCCCAATGTGCCAGAAGTGTCTCCAGCTCCTCTTACACTCTAGACATCCTCCTTATCTTGATCTGGGTTGGGGGAATTTCCCAGTACTTGTCCTGGACCAGAAAGACCTGCACTTCCTGCCAGCTACCTCCAGCCTGCCTCAATCTGGGTGTCGGCTCCTCACCTTTCACTCAGGCCCCTGGGGACCGGCCATCTTTGGGATGGTGACTGAGATGGCTCTCCCTGCTGGGCAGTGACTCTCCTTAGGGTTTCCTGGTCTTGACGAGAGGAAGGAGTTGCAAGAGGAAGACAAGAGCATAATGAAGTGCCTCGGGTCGGTTTCTCCAAGTTCTTATCACTCCCAAGAAAGTTTCTTTTCTTTTCTTTTTTTTTGTGATGGAGTCTCACTCTACTGTCCAGGCTGGAGTGCAGTGGTGTGATCTGGGCTCACTGCAACCCCTGCCTCCCTGGTTCAAGCAATTCTTGGATTCTCGTACCTGAGCCTCCTGCATAGCTGGGACTAAAATCACACACCATGACATCTAGCTAATTTTTTTTTTTTTTAAAGTAGAGACAAGGTTTTGCCATGTTGGCCAGGCTGGTCTCAAACTCCTGACCTGGGGTGATCTGCCCACCTTGGCCTCCCAAAGTGCTGAGATTACAGGTGTGAGCCACCATGTGCAGTCCCAAGAAAGTTTCTCAAAAGGGTTTGCCCCCTTTGAGAAGCAGAAGCAAAGAACTTCTACAGGCAAAGGGGAGGGAGATGAGAGAGAAAGGAGAAAGTTTACTGCTATTTCTTGCCTTTCTTATCTAGAATGCAAATTTCTGGATTTGCATGGCTCTCTTTTTCAAGGAGGAACACTTAGTCCTCTGCCCACCCATCTCAGCCCCACCAGGCCATGCTGTCTGTAGCCTGGCAACACTTCCTTGGGTCCTCAAACCCCGCCTTTCACCTCCTGCTTTTCTCTTGCCATGCACCCGACACCTGAAGGCCGCCTCACCTCTCTTCTCCCTCCCAAGAGTTGGGTTCCTTGTCAAAGTCACGCAGAATTGTCTAATTATAACAGATTAATCCATTAGGATTTATGCCTTTCTGTTTATTGGCTGGAACTATCCATTTCACAGCTGCGGCTCCCACATCTAACCAGCTAGCAGGCGATTTAAATATAGAAAGCAATTTAACCTAGTTGGATACCAAGGCATCTCGCTTAATGTAGTGCATAAATTTCGGAGCTCTTTGCTCTCAGTCCTCAAAAGGGCAGCCAACAGTTTCATGTCCTGAAAAGATTTGGCTTTTCGGGGAATTTACACCCCGAGAAGGGACCCTGGGTCTTGGCTGAAAGAAAGGAGTCTTTTCAAATGAGGTCAGGGGTTGTTTGCAGGTCAATTCAGCTTTTCTTTTTTTCTTCCTCTTGTGGGGAAAATGATGTTTTCCTTGACTGAGCTTTTTTGGAGCCTGACATCCAAAGGATGGAGGGTGTTTGCGTTTTCTTCTCTCCTTTTAATTTTCATGTACTGCCTGTTTGAGGAAAGTGGTTTTCCCACATTGTGCCAATAGTCAGGGTCACCCTGCCTGCTAAGACTTTGCCATCCAGGTGACACCATGCTCAATCTTGGTTCTCCTAGCTTCACAGCACCTGGCTTATAGTAGGGCCCCACCTAATGTGTGCCATGGCTGGGAAGAAAGGTGGAGGCAGGAGGCCACGAGAACTTGCAAACCCAACTGTAAACCCCAAACTGGAAGCAACAGTGCAGACTTGAGAAAATCCTTTTGGTATGTACGACTGCAAGGCCACCCCCCTTTCAGGGAGGAGAAGAGCAGAGAGGGAGATCTTGCTGAGACAAGAGAACACTAAGAGGAATGAGATGCAAGTCTCCAAGTGCCTGAAGAGCTTCCACAAAATGGGATTGGATTTTTTAATTTTCTTTTCTGCAGGGCCTCAGAGGGCACAGCTAGCAGGCTAAGGGATGGAAGTTATAGGAATAAAGAGTTGTAACTAACTTATTTGTAGGACAAACTTTGCATTGATCAAAGTTGAAAAAAACTTTTTAATGGAACTCTCAAAGAGGTAACAAACTTCCTACCAGTATTTATGCTTAAGCAGAAGTTAGCTATGGCTGGGAGCTGTAGTGGACTTGAGAACCAGACAGGTCTAGGAGACCTTGAAGAGGTTGTCCAACAGAGATTCTGTGATCATGTATCCAGCTTCAGGAATCCATGGACCTGAAATGCAGTCTGTTTTATCCACTCCCTTGGGCAGATGGGAAAAGAAAACCATAGGCTTTGAAGAGGGTGGTGGGAACTTGCTTAGCGCAGAGTCCCTGAGCCAAGAGCGTGAATGCAGTTCGCCTTGGTTCCCACTGCTTGGATTCAGTTCTTCCCCAGGGCAAGATGGCGATTGCAGTAGCAGGGATGGGGTGTCTGCTATTTTCCTAGAGCTTCCATAACAAAGTACCTCAGATCAAGTGGCTTTAATCACAGGAATTTATCGTCTCCCAGTTATGAAGGCTAGAGGGCTGGAACCAAGATGTCGCAAGCCCAATGCGTCCTCTGACGGTGCTAGGGAAGGATCTGTTCCAGGCCTTACTCCAGCTCCTGGTGGTTTCTTGGCTTGTGGCAGCAGCACTCCAATCTTCACAGGGCATCTCCCTGTATGTGTGTCTCTACAAAATTTCCCTTTTTTCATATTGGATTAGGGTTGTACCCTACTCCAGCGTGAGCTCACCTTAACTAATTACATCTGTAACAACCTTATTTCCAAATAAGATCCCAGTCATATTGGATTAGGGGTCTACTTTATCCCAGTGTGATCTCAACTAATTACATTGGCAACGACCTTATTTCCAAATAAGATGCCACTCTGAGATACCGGAGGTGTTAGAATTTCAACATATAAATTTTGGTGAAACGCAATTCAACTCATAACAAGGTATGAAAAGATGGGCTATAGAATGGTTGGTTTGATTATAGGACCCAGCAGAGGTTTCAGATGGTTTTGATAGGTGTGAAACAACTCTAAATTGTTCCAGTCTGAGCCACTCACTCCCCCATCAATCTGCTCTATGTAAAGCCCCAAGCAGGTATTTCCTTTTTTTTTTTTTTAAACTCTAACAGTATTTGAAGTGGGCATCACAGTTTAGCCCTTAATGACAGTCCTTATACTAGTGTTTTGTTCCTGCAAAGAAACTACTACTGAGCACTTAATATAGAAGAAGTATGTGATCTATACAATATCTCAATTAGCCATGACTCTGTGAAATAGTATCAATCCCATTTTGCAGGTGAAGAAATAGATGTTGAGAAGATATTTGGTAACATGCTGAAAGCCACACAGCTAGCAGCAGCAGAACGGGGATTTGGACCCCTGTCTATTTGGCTGTAAAGTTCATTTTCTCTCCGATATACCAGGTAACTCCCAAACTTGTTCATAAGCTTTTCAAGAGAACAGACTTCTCTTACATTCCACTCACTACCAGGTTGATTACAATTTGCTGTAGGCATTCCTTCAGTTCCTTGTGGTGAAATGCCCAGGTGCTGCTAGCTGATCTCTAAGCCCCCTTTTAGCTCCTCTGCTTCATGGTGAATAATCTCCTTTTTTGACTAATGGATTGGTTTACTTTGAATCAGAAATTTGGTGATTATGTACAGAGTTGGTATGTAATAGAGCACCAGTACGGACGTGGAAACGGCTCAATGCTGGGTGTCCTGCCTCCCGGGTAACTGTATCCTGGGCTGGGTCCTCTACTTTGAGCTCTTTTTTTTGTTTTTTGTTTTTTTTTTCAGCTTTATTGAGGAATAGTAGACAAATAAAAATTATCTACATTTAAAGTATGAAACCTGATATTTTGATATGCAGATACATAGTGAAATGATCACTTCTGTCAAGTTAATTAACATACACCACCTCACATAATTATCTCTCTCTCTCTCTTTTTTTTTTTTGGTAGTGAGAACAGTTAAGATCTACCTTCTTAGCAAATTTCAGTATATAATACAATATCGTTAAGTATAGTGCACCACGTTGTCCATTAAACCTTCAAAACTTATACATCTTGCATGACTGAAACTTTGTACCTTTGACTAGCCCCTCCCTGTTTCTCCCTCTTCCTGTCCCCTGGCATCTCCTTTCTACTCTGTGTTTCCATGAGTTTGCCTTTTTTTTGTTGTTTTTGAGATGGAGTCTCGCTCTGTCACTCAGTCTGGAGTGCAGTGGTGTGGTCTGGGCTCACTGCAGCCTCCGCCTCCTGTGTTCAAGCAATTCTCCTGCCTCAGTCTCCCGAGTAGCTGGTATTACAGGTGCCTACCACCATGCCTGGCTAATTTTTGTATTTTTAGTAGAGACGGGGTTTCACAGTGTTGGCCAGGCTGGCCTTGAACTCCTGACCTCAAGTGATCTGCCCACCTCGGCCTCCCAAAGTGCTGGGATTACAGGCGTGAACCACCAAGCCCAGCCTAGTTTGACTATTTTAGATCCCACATGTAAGCGAGATCATGCAGTATCTGTCTTGCTGTGTCTGGCGTACTTCACTTAGCATAATATCTTCCAGGTTCATGTGTGTTGCCACAAATGGCAGGATTTCCGTCTTTTTAAAGGTTAAATAATATTCCCCTGTGTTTACACACCACATTTTCTTTATGCACCCATTAATGGACACTTACACTGTTTCTATATCTTAGCTATTGTAAATAGTTCTGCAGTGAACATGGGAGTGGAGATATCTCTTTGACATACTGATTTCATTTTCTTTGGATATATACCCAGTAGTGGGATTGCTGGCTCATATGGCAGTTCTGTTTTTAATTTTTTGAGGCACCTCCATAGTGTTTTCTATCATGGCTATACTAATTTACATTTTCACCAACAGTGGTAAAGACTCTTTTTCTCCATATCCTTGACAGCACTTGTCTTTTGTCTTTTTGATTAGCCATTCTAAGGGGTATCAGGTGGTATCTCATTGTGGTTTCGATTTGCATTTCCCTGATGATTAGCGAGGCTGAACATTTTTTTCATATGCCTGTTGGCCATTTGCATATCTTCTTTTGAGAAATGTTTATTTAGGTTCCCACTTTTTAATTGGGTAATTTGTTTGTTTGTTTGTTTGTTTTGCAACTAAGTTGTATGAGTTCCTTATGTATTTTGGATAATATATCTATTCCTATTCTCTTAGGACCTATTTAACAAGCAGACAGTGTATCAGGTCAGTAGGTCAGGACACCTTCCATGGGGATGCTTACACTTACATGCTTGCTCTGACTGTATTAGCTACAAACCTGCCCTTCCTATGTAGCAGATTTCATGACACAGAGGAGGTGGGTTTTGCTTTAGGTTGCCTGTCTCAGATGATCAATATTTATTGAGCATGGATCATGTGCTGGGTGCTGGGCTATATATTGGTGGGGGCCAGAGAGACTGATACATGCTTGATAAGCACATGAAGAGATATTATAATTTGAGGAATAACAAGGTCGGGATAGGTACTGGATTTTATGTGAGCACTTGGAGAGGCTGGGGCTTCAGGAAGGACTCCAGGAAGAGATGCAGCTGGCGTTGAATCTTGAAGAGTAAGAGTTAGCCAAGACCAAGCCACAGAAAATAAAACAAAGAAACAAAAGCTGCCAACAAGTCCTGCAGAGGGAAGAGTATATGCAAAATCATGGATGCATAAAGCAAGGTGTGTGTGTGTGTGTGTGTGCGCGCACGTGTGTGGTGTTTTTTTTGTGTGTAAGTGGATTGGAATTAGAGGATAAAATGCTGGAGATGAGATGAAATAGTTGACAAATCATGGAGACTGGTCAATACCAGGTCAAGGGGCAAAGACTTAATTAGTCATGTAGATGACAGAATCACTGAAATGTTTCAAGCAGAGGAGTAACAGGGTCAGAATCACGTCCTCTAGAGAGCTGACTATGTGGAGGATTTCCTGATGGAATTTCTGGAGCCTCGCTGATCTGCTCCATACATGTTGCTGAAGGAGTTACTCTGGAGCTCAGGGGAGGGTTACTTCTTGGTGGTTTGCAGGACAGCTCTGCCTGCCTCCCAGGTAACTGCAGTGCCAGAGGGGAGGGAGGCATTCCCTGACCTCGTAGCTGGGTTTTTGAACTCATTTTCTTTTGGAGGTTTAGAGTTCTCTGCTCCTGAGTACATTGTGAACTGTTGAGAGCTGCTGTAGGGTAGGAGGAATGGTGTGTGTGAGTGTGTGTATGCGTGTGAGAGCATGTGTGTGTGCACCCGTGCATATGATCATCCCCAACAGTGAGCTTGGCATTAACCAGTCAATACAGTATCTGGTTACTGTCTCTTCTTTCTCTATTCATTTAGCATCTATTGCAGTGCTGATTGCATTGTACCTATAATCTTTTTCTGTCTATTCTACTTAACAGTGGGCAGAGACTGTCATCTTTATTTCACAAGTAATCCCTGAACATAATAGATGTTCAGTAAATATTTGTGAAGTGAAAGGGTAAATGGAAGAATGAGGGTTCCTGTGCTCCCTGGCACAAGACCCTGCCCTGGGATCAGCAGAGAATGCCAAAGAAGGCAACATGTCCTGACTATGCCTGTGCCAGGTGGGAAGCCGAGGGCATTAAAAGGCCTTAAGTAGAGGGTCAGGTCTTTGATTAGTGCATTGACTCTTTAAAGGGAGACTATACTATGAAAACTGTGGTACTTACAGGAAGGTCGCATCTCAACAAGGCTTCAGGGTGGATCCCTGCTTGTCCCTGACAGCTAGGTCTTGGGCATAGTCACCAGGCTTCCTAGTTGCCACAAATTACAGGAAAATCACAGGTGGGGTGTGGCACAGGCTTTTATGGGTCCTTTCCTTTGGACCTTATTGACTGTCTTCTTTTAAGTACAGGCCATGCTCCCCTCTCTGACATAGCGGGCACTGGCAGCTGGCAAATCCAATTAAAAATGCTGAAGCATGTACTGTAATTACAAAAAAAGATATGCATGCATCTTAAGCATTTTGCCTTAGTTTAAAATATATACATGTGTACTTATTTGCCAATCCTTTGGGGAGGGGTCAAAGCCTATTCTTGGAGTATGAGTCTCCTAATCAGAGTTTCCGTTCATTGTTCTTGGATCAACCATGCCTGTGATTCATTATCTAAGAACTCTGGTTTTCTTTAAATCCCGGGTTTCTTTAAAGTAAAATAAGAACATCAAGACCCATGCAAAGCAGTATAAACGCAGAATTCTAAATTTTTTATAATTATGCCCACCACTTTCCCACCCTGCTCCCCAAGCCCCAGTCTGTTTTAGTGGTCTCACCCACACATTATTTAACACCATTTTAAATGACTTGCCTTTATCAAGCCTTTCCAAAGCATTCAATATGGTGTACTTAGAATCACCAGCCTTCTTTTCATTTGTGATTGCATTTACAGCTTATTGCTTTGCATAATATTTAATCTAGATGCATAATCAACAATAATAAGTATAATTGGCAACAGACTCCTGATAAGCAGACAATTTGCTGCTGGGAGAGGGGTCCAGGCTATCTTGGAACTAGCCCAGTGATTTCTGTCCTCAGCAGGCTAGGACCCCATCAGTAAGGTAAAAAGACATCTGCTCCACACCCTGTTTTTTCAGTGACTTCAGGACTGGCTGCCTTTGCTGCTCTCTTCTTCTCCAGTCTGTTAGTCTGTCATAGGTGGGGGATTGGGACCAGTGCTTTCTGAGCTCCCCTTAGTTCTAGAGTAGACTTCTGGGCCCCCACAGGAAATGCTTCTAATTTCTCCTGCCTCCTTCTTTTACCTGCCTCTACCAGACTTCCTAAGTCCTCCCCAAGGTCCCTGCAAATGTTTCCATGTATAGGAAATCCCAGATCTCTCTTGATTTCTTATAAGCCACGTAGATATGGGATGGATTCCCAGCTTCGTCACACAGCAGGGTGTGACCTTGGCCATCATACTTAACTTCTTTTAGCCCATCACACCTATCACATCAGTTTATTGTTGTATTAAATTAAATGAAGTTCAACGTGTTATAATAATAGCTAGCATTATTGAGTGCTTACTGTGAACCAGGACAAGCTTTACATGGGTACTCCATTTCATTTCTGCAATGACACTATGAGCTAGGTGCTACTGATCTCAATTTACAGCAGAGGAAATGGAGAGTGAGGCAGTCTACAATATCTTTTAAAATCTAGGTGGAAGAAGCCACGCTACCACAACTCTTGCATTCTGTGTGCCTGCAAAATTAGCACCATGTGAATGCCGCCAGAATTTATGGCTTGTGCCTTCTGGAGTGATGGGTTGAGCAGCACTTGGGCCCATTTGAGTTATGGCTGGGGCAGCCAAGGAGCACTGCATCCAATGTGAGGAGCAGTGACCCAAGGCAACTCTGGGCAGCAAGTCTATGGAGGGTACCATTGACACACCCCCCCAGATCATTCTGCCCACCTTGAATTTTGAGCCTTGATGAGAGGAGCAGATTTAAAGATCTCTCAAATGTTTCTAGGGTCATTCTCCCATTGTCTTGATGATCTCTTATCTCCACACTAATCTTCTTAGCAAATGGTCAATTGCCACACCCTTAGTTTGTACTCCTGAACACTGTTTTTTATTCTTTATCTGATCAGGCTGGAAATTTTTGAAATCTTCCTATGCTGCTTCTCTTTTAATTATAACGTTTGTCTTTAAGTTACTTCTTTCCTCTTGCATCTTACTTAGGCAGTTAAAGTAGCCATGCAGCTCCTTCAGCTTTTTGCTTAGAAATTTCTTCTGACAAATACCCTAGTCTATCACTTTTAAATTCTGCTTTCTATAAAGCCCTCAGGTATAGACATAATTCAGCCAAGTTCTTTGCAACTTTATAGGAAGGCTAGCCTTTACTCCATTTTTCAGTACCTGTTTCTCATTTTCATGTGAGACCTCATCAGAATGGCTTTTACTGTTCATATTTCTCCCAAAATTCTGATTCGGACCACTTAAATAATCTCTAAGAAGAGTCAGACTTTCTCCACAGTGCTCCTCATCTTCTGAGCCCTCACCAGAATCATGCTTAATGCTTGTTTACTGAAGTCCATGTTTTTTCTAGCATGCTTCTCCAAAATCTTCCAGCCTCTACCCATCACCCAGTTCCAAGCTGCTTCCACATTTTCAGGTATTTGTTATAGCAACAATTCCATTCCTGGTACCAATTTTCTGTCTTAGTCCATTTCTCTTGCTATAACACAATATTACAGACTGGATAATTTATAAAGAATAGAAGTTTACTTGGCTCATAGTTCTGGAGGCTGGAAAGTCCAAGAGCATGGTGCTGACATCTGGCGAGGGCCTTCATGCTGCATCATCCCATGGTAGAAGGTAGAAGGGCAATAAAGCATGGGAGCCAGGGACAGAACAAGAGGGAGCTGAACTCATTTTATTTATTTATTGTTTTAAGAGACAATCTCCCTCTGCTACCCAGATTGGAGCATAGACAATGTATCATAGCTCACTGCAGCCTCAAACTCCTGGTCTCCAGTGATCCTCCCACCTCAGCCTCCTGAGTAGCTAGGATGACAAGTGTGCGCCACCACCCCCACCTAATTATTTTATATTTTGGAGAGATGGAGTGTCACTATGTTGCCGAGGCTGGTCCTGAACTCTTGGCCTCAAGTGATCCTCCTGCCTCAACCTTCCAAAGCTCTGGGATTACAGGTGTTAACCACCATGCCCAGCCTGAACTCATTTTTATAACAAGTCCACTCACGTGATTACTAATCTACTCCTGGGGTTACATTAATCTATACATTGGCAGAGCCCTTACAGCCTAACCACCTCTTAAAGGTCTTACCTGTCAATACTGTTGCATTGGGGATTAAGTTTCCCCCAGGAAACTTAAGTTCCAACATGAACTTTGAGGGAAACACTGAAACCATAGCAAGGTTTTTTTGAACTTTCTGGAAAGAGACAATCTGCAACCCTCCTATAATTATCTCTGTGGCTCACCACACTTTTGGTGCAGTAGAACGTATTCTAATGTCTATGTTGTTAGACACCATATCCCTAGTTTATAGAAACTGAAATTGCAAGTAAAACTCTATTTGCCACAACCAAGATGTAGTGAAAAAAGGTGCCGTGGGATTAGGAAGATCTCCGCTCACATTCCAGCCCTGCCATTTTCCAGCTGTAGCACCTTAAACAGATTAATTAATTTCTTTGCTTCTCGGTTCCTTATCTGTAAAGAGGCATAATAATATCTACTTTGCAGGGTTGTTGTGAGGATTAAATGAAAGTGACACTGCTCGGCAGATAGAGGGCAATCCACTAAGGGCCTTTTATTTATAATTCATTCATTTAATAAGGGTTTAATGAAAACCTATGATGTGGCCAAAACTATTCAAGGAGCAGAAGATACTGTGCCTACCTGTAGGAGATGGCTCTCTAACTGGGAAACGTGCTGAGTGCACATGAGGCTGTTGAGTCCCATCGCCAGGTGGCAGAGCCCTAGTGCTGGAGCAGTGGGTGTAGAGATCAATTCTGTGACAGCTGCCCTTGTCCAGATGGAGACTTCCCTGAGGAGGACAAGGTGGAGGAGATATTGTTGGGACCTGAAGGAGAGGAGAAGCCAACGTGACCACTTGGAACAGGGCCCCTCTGGACTTCTGGTCCCCTTTGCCTGTTGCTTGGCGTGACTAGAGTGTTGAAGAGACTGGAAGAGGTTGGAGGTAAAAGTTGTGGGCTTCAGTGTGTCCTGAATGCCAGGCTGAGAGCAGATCATGGTGCTAAGACAGTGCTGACAACCCAGCCAGGGAAAGCGTTTGCTTGGAGGGGCTAGTTGTCACCACCAGATCAGCCATCTTTGCTGCTGTGAGGCGTTTGCAAGGAAAGGCAGCTGGTTCTTTCATCACCAGAATGTGCAGCATGTCCCTGTGTCTCTAGCCTTTGCTGGGGCACCAAAACAATGCCAGTGACACAAAGAGATGAGCAGCGCAGTCATCCTTCTTGGCTCATTTCTGGACAAGTCTCCAGTTCTGCTACCAGTATCACCGGATCTTTTAAGAGAGAGGCTCCACCTTGGGGATCCCCCAGCTCTTGGCATCTTCAGCCAGGAGGCCAGAACAGCTCCTCCAGGGACCGATGGTTAGTAGACATGCCATCCCTGTGAGAGGACTACTGCAGCCACCATGCCAACAGGCTCCTTGTTGCTGACACAGACCGGCAGTCTCCCTTTCCCCCGCCTCCAGGTTCTGTGGCAGCTGTTTAGTGACCATAGATCCCTTTGTGCTTAGTGTTTTCCAGGTTAATTAATCCAATTATTATCATCACTATAGTTTATAGTTAGGCACACTGTGCAATTATATCATCCATTCTGCATTATTGACGTGCAATTCGCCAGCCAAAGACAATTATTAATTCTTACCCTGTCGGGTTGTATCACACATAAACATGATGCATCCTCAGTCCCGATGCCTGGGTGGTTATCCAGTGTTTTGGGATCCCTGCTTGGGTCTGGGCTAACTGTTGTTAGAGAGCCATCCAGTGAGCATGAGTGGATGCCTCTCATTGAGGGGAGGTCTCTTTGGGCAAGACCAGGTAGTAGCAACATCCTCAGCTGAACTGGGAAGAGGAGCATGTGCCTCTGGTCCCAGCCTTCCTATCCAGGCCTTTCCTCCATGGGCAGGCCCATTGGTGTCCTCAGAGATCCAGCTGTGTTCTCCCCAAACCCTAAGGCCCTTCAGCTCTGGTACTTCAAAGGGCTTAGGAGCATCCAGGCCAGCATTACCTTTGTGTGTGTTATCAGCTCTGTGCCAGGAACTTCACATATGCTCTCACTGAATCATCACATCAATCCCACAGGGTAGAATTATTATTCACATTTTATTTATTTTTATGTGTTTATTTTAGGGACAGGATCTCTCTCTCATCCTGACTGGAGTACAGTGATGACATCCCAGCTCACCGCAGCTTCGACTTTCCAGGCTCAGGTGATCCTCCCACCTCAGTCTCCTGGGAGACTACAGGTGTGTACCACCACTCCCAGTGAATTTTTTGTATTTTTGGTAAAGACAGGGTTTCACCATGTTGCTTAGGCTGGTCTCAGACTCCTGGGCTCAAGTGATCATCTCGTCTTGGCCTCCAAAAGTGCTGGACTACAGGCATGAGCCTCGTCACCTGGCCCATTCCCATTTTACAAATGAGGAAGTTGAGGCTTGGAGAGACTTAGGGACTTTTGAAAGAATTGTGGTGATGAGCTGCACCCCAGGTGGCTTTGCTTCAAATACAACACCTTCTTAGCATAAAGAAAAGAATCACATTTTATAAAGAATAAAGGGAGATGGGCATTTGAACCTGACTTGATGTGAAAGGGAAGAAGAATTAAAGAGGACTGTCAGCATTAACTGGCAGGGGACAGAGAGATAAAGGCGCTCAGGCAGTAGGGCCTCTGGATTCCTGGAGCCACGTGTGCGTAAGCCATGCCGGCTTTCACATGTGTGGCTGTGACAGCCCCTCCCGCCAGGCTGCTGAGAAGAAGGCCCTGTGTGTAGTGAGCCAGGTCTGGAGGCTTGTTCACATGTGACCCCTGACGGCAGCGTGGGACTTCCGGGGAGATGAGGATGTGCCAGGGCAGAGGCAGGCCCCCCACAGGGACTCTTGTGTCCTTAAGCACTCATGGTGTCTAGATGGTGTGTGAGACACTCTTGACTGGGGACGTCTGGCTTTTGGAAGGTCCATGGGGAGTACAGGATGAAGCCACCCAGACAGACTGTGTCCATCTCCCTGCATTCTGCTCTGCCTGCCCCCCTCCTATCTAAGCCAGGTGAGGCCAAAGTGAAACGACAGTGTAGGGAGGCTTCAGAAGGAAAACTGGTGTGAAAGGGCTGCTTTCTGCCTGGGGTGGGGGCAGCTGGGGGCTGAGGAAGGTTGACTTCTTATGTTTGGGTTGTGTTGATACAAGAGTCAGGGCTGTCCTCTGTCCTCGCCTTCCCTCTCTGCTGTATTCTTCATGTTTTTAAATTTTCTGTGTTTTATGATGTTTTGACGTCTTGCAGGGGCCTTGTCAGCTGGGGAGAGATGGCTTCCCCCAGGGCCAGCTGATTCCTAGACAGGGTAAACATCTTGCCTATGAACACACCCTTCATGCCCCAACCAGCCATTCCTGAGCCCATCCTCCTAATCATCTCCTTTATCTAACTCTTCCCCACCCAGCAATATTTCCCTACCCTGAAGCACTCCAGGGTCAGGTACCAAGCAGCTAGGGACCACCCTTATACTCAGAGCCCACTGACATTATTCAGAGGAGCCAGCCTGAGGCCTGCCCACCCTGCCCCACCTTGTCTTCCCAAGAGCCTTGTGATAGAGGCATGGCCTCTGCTTTCCCCGTGCTGGCTTCTGCCTCCTGCCTGATTCAGGTGCTTGCCTGCGTGGCCGTGGCTGGTGATGCCTCCCGTTTCTAGGGGAGTTGGGAATAATAATAAAATCTTTCAGTGGTATTAGTTTCTGTGTGCCATCACTCAGTCACCTCAATTAAGATCTTGCAGGTACATTTTAATACAACTGCCATCAGGGCAGCCCAGATTCATGGTCCCCAGCACAGCCCTGTGGGGGCCTTGCCAGGGCTGGTCACACCTGGGGGTGGCTGACTGTGGCCACTGTGAGAGGATGGCACACATTCCGTGGAGAGGATGAGATAAAGGTTCCAACCCTTTCCAGCTTGTTTGGAAAGTCAGAGCAGCACATCCAATTCTTTTTTTTCTTGAGAGGGGGAGTCTTGCTCTGTCGCCCAGACTGGAGTGCAGTGGTGCAATCTCGGCTCACTGCAACCTCCACCTCCTGGGTTCAAGAGATTCTCCTGCCTCAGCCTCCCATGTGGCTGGGATTACAGGCGCACACCACCATGCTTGGCTAATTATTGTATTTTTAGTAGAGATGGGGTTTTGCCATGTTGGCCAGGCTGGTCTCGAACTCCTGACCTCAGGTGATCTGCCCGCCTTGGTCTCTGAAAGTGCTGGGATTACAGGCGTGAGCCACCGTGCTGTACACACCGTGCTGACACACCCAATTCTGTGTGTACTTTTCAAGAGGTTTGGAGACACCAGACGAGGCCATCCCACAGTAGGTGTGGGTGCCACCCGGGAGCCTTTGGGAGTGAGGAGAAAAGGGAGGATGACTCAGAGTGTGAAGGGAGTAAAGGAGGAGAAGCTGTTTCCCAATGCAGCTCAGGGAAGCAGAGGCAGTGCCCAATGCCTCAGTTTTTCCATGTGCTAAACGGGGGTTGGTGTATTTGCTCCTTTACATCACAGGATTTAAGCCTGCAGGGTCAGGGAGGGAACTCTGAGTCTGGGTGGAAGCTCTTTAGAAAGTCCTGGAATGTCATCATGCTTCGCCCTGGGACAGGCAGCCTGGAGACAGGAACATCAGGGGTGGGGATCAGGAGGTGGCTGGAGTCTTCAGTCAGAAGGAGGAATCATCCATTTCTGCACAGTTCAGTGGCATGTTCTGGGTCTCCATGGACCCGGCCAACTGGTTAAAGGAAAATGATTTCCCTGTGGCATCATTTTCAAAAGGAGGATGAGGAAAACTGAAAATTGCAGTAATGATAATAATGATAAACACAATATAAATAAATTAGAGAATAAATAGTAGTGGTTTGCAGAAATAGCAGTTGCAAAGCCCCAGGCTGGTTCCAGGACCCAGATGATGGGTTATTGCAGCTGCTGACCTTGGGGATGGTGCTGCCACTGATCGGAGAAGTGGCAGGGGCATTTCCTGTGGCTTCTGTGGGGGTTCTGGTCTCTGCTGTCCTCTCCACACTTCTGTAGCTCTGCCTAAGCCTCTGGGGACTTCTCAGCTTGGCTCAAGGCCTGGTCTGGCTTGGTGGGTGGGGACTTAGACCCTGGGTTAAGCTCTGGCTCGGGAAAACCTCCAGTGTGACCCTGGCCTGGCCACTCAGTTCTGTCACACCAAGATGCCTGTGATCAGTTGGCAGAGGGAACAGGTGCCGAGCTGTTTATTTATAACAGTTAAGGGCCTTGAAATGCTTTCTCCAGGCTCAGAAAAACCCCCACAAAATTTTTGTCTTCATTCATTGTATCCCTTCCCATCTTCCTACCTCTCTTTCATTGTCCTTCCCTTCCTCCTTCCTTCCTTCTCCCCCAGCCTATCTCCCTCCTTCCTTCTCTTCTTCTCTTCCTCATTTTCTTCCTTTGAATCCCTAATAATGCAGCCCAGTACTGGGTTCTTGCTACCTGGAGATGAATGAGGCCCAGCGTTTGCCCTTGAGGAGTTTTAATTGGATGTCTAAGTCTGTAGAGAATTATTAAAAGTCATTGACCTGCAGAAAAAAATAGAGCTTTTCTCTATCTGATTGGAAGCATCTCACAGTCTTATGAAACCCTAAGGCTGCTCTTGAATTCCTGCTCCTCCTTCCAACAGGCTTCTGGGGAAGACAGGGAAGCAGGGCATAATGACAGTGTCTTGGGGTTGTCCAGCCGGCTTCTGCATCCTGGCTGTGTAAGCCCAGAGAAGGGGCATTGGCCTCACCTGGGTGACCCCGGCTGAGTCCTCTGCAAGTCCTGGTGGCCCTCTCCCTGTGCACCCCTCCATGTCCCTGCTGTTCCCATGGTGAGTTGTGGCCTGTGGTCTGTGCTGCAGGGACAGACTGAGTGGGGGCTTGCTGCCAGCAGTGCCACTAAGCCTACTTTAGGCTGTTATTGTCCAACTGCAGGCCGCGTCCATGTGCTTCTCCAATTTCCTCAGGTCCAGTTCAAACCTTTTCCCTGAGCTCCACGGTGGGGTAATATTGAACTGCCTCCTGGATAATAGTGCACACTATTGGTGTTTGTTAAGTGTGTGTGTGCTATGTGCCAGGCGCTGTACTCTGCTGACGAAGGTCATTGTGTTTAATCTTTATCATTATCCTACAAGGCAGGACTGCAAGGGTGAGGCAGTAAAGCCAGGGTAACTCACCCAAAGTGACATGGCTCCTCGGCGGGTCCCTTGAAAGCCCAGACCCAGATGTGGAAAATTGCACTTGTTTTCTGGCTGTCCTTTCCTTATTGGATTCTCCTTCAGTGACTTCTTTCACTCTGTTCAGCCAGTGGCCCAGTTGAGTAACCCAAGTTGCTTTTTTGCATTCTTTCCCTTCATCCCAACAGCCCCTTGACACTACCAATAGCTTTGTTGCCAATGATATCCATAGTTACTATTTACTGATCTCCTCTTGGTAGCAGGTTGTGTCAGGATTTAATTTTTAATCCTTGGAGGAACTCTGTGAGGTAGATGCTGCTACCTTCCTTTAACAGATGAGAAACCTGAGACCTGGAGAGGGCTGGATGCTTGCCCTTTGCCTTCTAGTGGGCATGCACCCAATCTGTCTGATTCCCAAATGCCCACCCCTCACCAACAGGCAGGGATGCCACCCTCCTTGCTAAGCCTTGCTAAATTCAGTTATTGTACTTCCTTGCACAGGCTCTTGATCCATTCCTATGGTGGGTGACATAATGGCCCTTCCGAAGATGTCCGTGTCCTAATTCCTGGAGCCTGTGAATACACTGGCTGCATGGCAAGGGTGGAGATTAAGGTTGCAGATGGAATGAAGGTTCCAGCTCACCTTAAAATAGAGATTATCTTGGGTTATCCGAGTGGACCCAGTGTAATCACAAGGTTTCTTTAAATGTGAAGGAGAGAGGCAGGAGAAGATCTACCCTGCTGGCTTTGAAGTTGGAAGGGTGCCACAAGCCACAAGTGAAGGAATGTGGGCAGCCTCTAGAAGCTGAAAAAGGCAAGAAAGTGGATTCTTTCTTAAAACACCCAGAAGGGAACACTGCTCTGCAGGCACCTTGATTTCAGCCTTGTGAGACCCATTTTGGACATCTGACCCCCAGAACTGTAAGATAATAAATCTGTGTTGTTTGAAGCCATCGAGTGTGTGGTAATTTGCTACAGCAGCAAGCGGGAACTTATATAACCCCCTGCAGCCCTCAGCTCAGGACCTCATTACCTTTCTCTTGAGCTGTGGCCTCTGCCTTTCCTCCAATCTTCCATCTAAAGGGTCCAAACTATCTTTTCAAAGCAAATATTGTTCCCCACCCCCAACCTTGGCCCAGAAATCATTACTGGCTTCTGCTTTCAAATCTGAGAGGCGGCCAGCCTCTGCACCCTACACTCTTCCTTCCTTCCCATTAGCCTGGAGAAAGGTCCCTGGCCCTCTCCAAGGCCAGCTCCCAAAGGTGCTCTGTGACCTTCAGGACTTCCCTCTGTCTGTGTGGCCTCTTCTCAATCACCAGTTTCTTGCTCTCTGGTGACGGTTCCTTTTGGTACACAGCTATGTGCTGGCAGCTCCCATTTTTATCACCCATCTCACACTTGAGCTTTTACATTTGCTGTTCCCTCTGCCTGGAATGCTCTTTCCCTGGGTATCCGTGTAGCTCATCTCCACATGTTGTTCAAGTCTCTGCTCCAATGCAGTTTCCTTAGAGAATTCCCTCCTGATCACCCCGTCCAAACTCTCTGCTCCCACGTCTCTCCTGTTCTCTTTTCTTCCTAGCCCTGGCCACTGCCTGAGACCGCAGCTTCCCTCTGTCCGTCTGGCTGCCTCCTCCTCTTTGCTCACTTTGCTCATTACTTTAACTCCAGAGCCTGGAATAGAACCTGGCAACCACGTAGGTGCTCAGAGAACATCTGCTGGAAGAATGAATCACGTTTTATTGCTTTAAATACAGTATGGATGCTGATAGATGCCTATATCCTCAGTTCCTTTATCTCCCCGAGTTGTAGATTTATACATCCAAATGCTTATGTGACAGACACTCTATTTGGATGTGTAACAAGCATCGCAAGGTTAATGAGCCTTGGGTTGGATCCGTGTTTTCTGCCTACAACCTGATCCTCCCCCAGTCGTTAAGCTGAACACCAGTGGTTATCCTTGATCCCCGTCCTCCCCCTCTTCACACCAGTCTCCTGGCCAGGTCCACACCTCACTACTGCCCACTTTCTCATCCCCAGTCACTTCCACTCTTGCTCCCCCACAACTCAATCTGCACATGGCAGTCCAAGGATCTTTGAAAAAAAATTTTTTTTAATTGTACATTAGTTTTAGGTTTACAGAAAAGTTTCTAAGGTAGTGTGGAGAGTTCCCAGGCACCCGTCACCCAGGTTCCCCTATTGTAAACATCTTACAGTACTAAGGTACGCTCATCACACTAAGGGACCAACATTGGTGCATTGCTATTAATTACACTCCACACTTTATTCAGATTTCACTAGTTTTCTTTCTGTGCTGGAATCCCACATTACATTCAGTCATCATGTCTCCTTGTAACAGCTTCTCGGATTTTCCTCGTTACTGATGACCTTGACTGTTTTGAGGAGTACAGGTAAGGCAGTTTGTTCAATGCCCCTCAATTTGGGTTCATCTGATGGTTTTCTCATGTTTAGGCTGGAGTTATGGGTTTTGGAGAGGAGAAGTGCTATTCTATTCACATCACATGAAGGCTACCTAGCATCAGCGATGTGTTTCACTGTGGACCTTGGCCTTGATCACCTGGCTGAGGTCATGTTTGCCAGGTTTCTCCTCTGCAGCTACCTTTCCTGCTCCTTTCCCATGCTCTACTCTTCGGAAGCAGGTCACCAAGAGCAGATCACATTCAAGGGGCAGGAAGAGAAGAAAATTAAACTCCATGACTTGGAGTGGAGAACGTCTACTAAATATTTGGAGTTTTATAGGGGAGATCTGTTTCTCCTCTCTCACTTATTCATCCATTCATTTATTTATTAATTCATCATGTATTTATATCAGTGGACTCATGGGTATTTGCATCATACTTTGGGTCCCAATTCAATACTATTTTATTTACTTACTGTGCAAAGTGTTCCAGCTTTGGCCTTGGGGACCTGCTTCGGTTTGGCTCCCGTGTCACTTTGCCGTGCTCCCTCTGTTTAGCACATCCCTGCTTTCTGGCACTGGAAGGTGCCGTGGGCTCATCTGGTGTGTTCCCTGCCCAAGCCCTAGAATCAGCCATTATTCCAAGGAGCACTGGAGCCATTTTCTTAGAGAAAGGAAAATCTGGAAGCTGGGTGTGTCCATGGGCACTGGGCCAGTGTGCTGTTGAAAATGCTAAATGAAACACTTATTTTTGCCCTTAGAATAAAAGGCGCACTCCTTACCATAGTCATCTGGTTCTGAGTGACTTTTCCAGTTTTGTTTTGAATCATTGTGCAGCCACAATGGACTCACTCCTGTTCTTAAGCCAGAACCTTTGGACTTCCTTTGTGTTCCTCGGTTTTTGCCTGGCTGACTCCTTTCCAGGCTCCAGGTCTCAGCTCAAAGCCCCTGGACTCTAACTTCATGAGTGCCACAAGGGTAAAGGCCTTGTCTGCCTCATTCGCTATTGTCTTCTAGTCCCTGGAAAAGCCTCTGGCACCTGACCAAGCTAAGCAACCATTTATGGAATGAGCAACTATTTCCAAGCACTGGTGCCGCCATCTGCAGGCTGGCTCTCTGATGGGAAGCCTGTCTCTCCCTGGAAAGCTTTATTTCTTCTCTTAAGGCCTCGCTCAAAGGTGAGTGGAGCCCTGTCTGATTCCCCATGATCCAGAAAACTGTGGCTTCTGCTTTTGCTCCTGTTGATCTTTCTGCATGTCTCCGTGACAGCATCCAGCCCGGTAGATGCTAACAATAGTGAGCCTGCAAACATACCTCTCTTCCTCACGGGGCAAACTCCCCTAGGGTGCAAACCTTGACTTGCCCATCCAGCGCTGCTGTTCAAGGAACTCAGTAAATGTTTGTCAAGCGAATATTGGGACTCCTCATTTGGATTATTTCAGCCATCTTCAGTCTAACCCTTGCTAGGAAAGGGTGAGCTGGCCACTAAGGGAGCTGTCTCCAGCCCTCAGAAAGGGCATGGAAGACCGTGACAAATGTTGCCTCCCATTTGCTTTTTCCTTCTTTCCTTCTTTTGGTAGAAAGAATCAGAGGGTGGAAACTTCACTTCTAGCAAAGCTGTCTGATATTTCCCCAGGTATAAAGGAGGTCCCTTCATCCCTAGTCTTATCTTAAAATCTCCTTGATGTCTGTGTCTTTAAAAAAAATTTCCACCTCTGAAGATCAATAATATTGCAGAAGTTAGAGATCAAAGTTTTTCAAGTGGTGGGTGAGCTGAGGTGGGAGGTGGGGGTGGAGGCTGGAAAGAGGGTTTCTATTAAACTCATCCCTGGATGATGCTTCCAGATGCACGGAAGCTCATTCTGTCACCTGCTTGTAGTGCCCTCTTTTTCTTTCTCTCCCCTCTCCCCAACACTTTTCCTCCATCCCTCCCCCTCTTGCCCATAAATAAAGCCACAGCCTCAACAACATCTTGTAAAGCACATTAGAAAATGCCTCTAATAAATCCCTAACAGCCTTGGCCATAACCAGCTGAAAGAAAGGTGATCATGACACGGAAGTGTCAGGTTAGAACAACAAATTGGGCCATGTGAGCAGGGATTTATTCGTCTTTGTAAATGTGCTATAAAGGTCCATATAATTTCACAAATAAATACGAATATTGCTTAGTAAATGGCTCCTGAATTTAGAGCTCCAGGACCACTGGAAGTAGCACATTAGCACCAACGGTGCAATTTCAGATGTGGGGCAAATCAGCCCGGGGCACCAACCAGGTGGCACTGGGCCCTACCTGTGTCCCTTCTCAAATGTGTGCGGTGCCTCAGGCTAGGGCAGCAGGAGGGGACCCAGGGCTGGTGGGCTCTGGGGTTCTCATAACAGTCCCCGGGGCTTAGGATGATCAGGAAAGATCAAAGAGGAAGGCAGGCTCTGAGCTCTTCATCATCTCTAAAGATGGTGATTGTCAGGCTCAGGAGAGCTGGCAACCCAGGAATTGGTCCTCCCAGTTTGTCTGGGGCTAGGGGCTTCCTGGGATGCTGGGCTTCTGGTTTTAGAAGCGGGATGGCTGGTCACCTTTCTTGTTGGAGAGCAGTGGTACTGATCGGTGACCCCAGAAACTAGGCATGGGGAAGAAGAAGGGAAAAGAAGGTGGGGGGCGGAGGGGAAGGGCTTCAGAGAAAGTAGAATTGGATTAATATTGGTGTTTTTTCAACTCTGGCTGTCCTTGAAGCATTTTTAAAAACTATTAGTTTGTGGCCCCATTTCAGACCAGTAAACTGGAATCTCCGAGGGTGGGGTCCAGGATTGGTATTACTTAGGGGCTCTGCAGGTGATTCTGATGTGCACTGGGGCATGGTTCAGAGCCCTGGAGGCCCCTGCCCCTCCCCACCCCAATGCTGCTCCTTGAGTGCACCTTCGCAGTGCGTCATAGAGCTGTCCGGTCCATTGATTTCCTTTTGTCATGTTGCCTTTGTCCCTCCTACTCCCCTTTTTAAATACCAGGTCACATAGGCTCAGACAAACCATATTGGCTAAATCAGTCATGAAACCGCCAGGAACACTGGCTGACCCTCTCCCCATCTGGTGCTTTTCTGTTATAGACACAGCCTAAATAAGAAATGATGACCTAAATTTTCAAACCAAAGATGTTGCAAATAGGAAGGTCCATCCTCAGAAGCATTCTTTTTTTTATAATTAAGATACAGATGCAATGGGCCTTGGCAGAATGTGTGTATCATTGCCCCTTCTCCGTGCCTGCTGGTGGGACAGAGTGACCTGGAGCTTATGTATCATTTTGCTCTGTTGGCCAGCGGGGATTGGCTGGCAGGACCCACAGACCCTACATTTAAACCCCATATGTCTTCCTGCATACTTGCAATCTTGTTTTTCTGCATGGGACAGAAATCTGGATGGTGACTGCTATACTGGGTGGTGGGGGAGGCTCCCTATCATGACCTGTCAGAGGGGGTGGATGGGGGTGGGGGCCTCCCATTATGCTTAGAGAAAGAGAGAAGATCAAGGCTCCCAGAAGAGGAAGTTTGTTTTCCATAGAAACCTAACTTGGGTGTGCAAGCTCCTCCTGCTTCTGACATGAAACTGACTCTTGTCCATTCTTCTAGGCTGCATTTCTCTGAACTCCACCACCTGTTGTCTGCAGCCCAAATTCTGCCCCCAACCCTTGTAACGATAATGCCTCAATTACCCAGTGCTCTGCCCTCCCATAAAGTGATAGGTATCCAGGATCTCATTTGATGCTGGCTTGCATTGTTCTCTCATTATTTTACGAATGTGGAAAAGACATAGAGATTTAGATTCATAGCTTGGGTCCCAGTCCCATTTCACTTGATGGCTCTCTGACCTAGAACAAATCACTTACTTCCTTTGATCATTAGTTTTCTTCTCTGTGTAATGGGAATAATGGGACTGTAGACCCATGAAGTGCACAATGTTACATACAGTGTTGGGCACATATTTGGTGTTCATTGCATTTGGTACCTCTTTCCCTAGCTCCCTCCTTTTCCTCTATATGGCTGTTGAGATAATCAAATGAGGTAATTTATGTAAGGATCATGTGGAAAGTGCTATACTTATACTCAAGCCTATTCTAGTTATTACTCTTATACCTATTAGACCTCTATCCTCCCTGGCTATATCTAGAGACCAGACTATTTACTCTTCCATACTAGACCGTGAAGCACCTATACTGCTTTGCTATCTCTCAGTCTTCATGATGGGAGCATCACACATCAACTCTTCTCTTTCCTTTCTGAACTTCTATAGCCTTCCTTGCCTTTTTCTGGGGCCCAGTTCAAATTCAGCCTTTCAAGGTTCACATCTATTCTTTCCAGGAAGGAAGCCTGGGATCTCAGGATCTTGGAGCTGGTGAGGAAAGGAGACTTCAAGGTCTCTGCAGTGACTTATCACAGCTACCCCATCTCTGAGGACTTCACACTGATCTCCAACTGTTTGACTTCGCTCAGGCCATCTGCCTTGACTCTGCCATCCAAGCTGTAGGGTCCTCCTTTCTTATCTCTCCAAAGCCCACTCATCCCCCAGGATCCAAGCCTAGCCCTGCTTCCCCCAGCAGGGAAGAAGTAACTCTGACCTCTTTCATACTTACCACCTGTGATGTTCTCGTATCAGTCCATGGCCTGGATATCCTCTCTTGGTCCCCCTATGCTCACCCTTACCCTACTGTGTGCTCTGGGAGGCCAACCCCTATAGACTCCCTTGTCTTTGGCCTCAGGTTGGGTTTAGCCAATGGAATGACCCAAATGGAGATCAGAGGGTGGGAGGAGAGTGGATGGAGCATACTCATTCCCTGAGTGGTTGCCTCAGTTGCTACAACTCTTGTTAAGTGGACCTCTCCATGCCACCATCCTCTCTGTTTCTTCAGTTTCTCCTTCCTCTGGCCTCTCCAGGCCCAGGAGAGTTGTACATGTCATCCTTTGTGTATTTCTCTAAACCTTTCCCACATATTTCAAAATAGCATTCTCATGAAACTCTCCTCAGTTATCCAGCTTGAGTGTACCATCTGTTTCCTGCTGAGACCCCCGCCGATATGGCTTCTGACAATGAGGTATCCGATTGAACACTTCAGCATATATTGTTTTTTGTCATCCTCCAGCTGTCTATTCCATGCACATCAGGGTTAGGGTCTTAAGGGAATAGAGGACCACTATCTAGCTCTCTTTGGTGCCCACAAGCTTGGCATAGAACTTGCCACATGCTTGGCATGAAACAAACACACATAGAATTGTCCAGAGGGAGGACTGCCACATATGTGGGCTCCTAAGTCTCTTTTAGCCCTCCCTGCCATAGTGTGCAGTTCTAATGACTGACTTGGAGAGAAGTTCTGAGCAGGCTGGGTGGCCCGGAAGCCTGGACTTGGAAACCAAGCTCATACTTTGGGCTGAGAGAGGCACTGGGGCAGGACCCCTGTGGCTTGGAACGTGGATCCAGGTAAGCCAAGCCTCCTATCTGGAGAGCACAAGGTCAGCACTGGGTGGCAAAGGATGGCGTGGGCTGCCCAGGTGGTAGAGTTGTGTCTCCTTGAGAGCAGGTGGGCAGAACCTGGTGATGGAGAATCTGCTGTCTGGCAAAGTGTAGAGGCGTGATCACGAAATCCCAAGTTATCTGAACGAGGAGGGTCCTTAGGGTTGTCTAGTCCTGCACTGTCCAATATGGCAGCCACTTGGCACTACATTGTGGCTACTGAGCATTTGAGGTGGGACTGGTCTGAACTGGCATGTGATGCCAGTGTAAAATACATACCAGATTTCTTTTTTCTTTCTTTTTATTTTGGGACGGAGTCTCGCTCTGTCACCCAGGCTGGAGTGCAGTGGCGTAATCTCAGCTCGCTGCAAGCTCCACCCCCCAGGTTCACGCCATTCTCCTGCCTCAGCCTCCCGAGTAGCTGGGACTACAGGCACCCACCATCATGCCCGGCTAATTTTCTGTATTTTTCTAGTAGAGACGGAGTTTCATCGTGTTAGCCAGGATGGTCTCAGTCTCCTGACCTCGTGATCCACCCGCCTCAGCCTCCCAAAGTGCTGGGATTACAGGCGTGAGCCACCGCGCCTGGCCTAATACATATCAGATTTCAAACTCAGTATGAGAAAATTTAAAATTATCTCATTAATTTTTATATTGATGATGTGTCGAGATGATAACATGTTGTATATTTCAGTGGTCCCCAACCTTTTTGGCTCCAGGGACTGGTTTCGTGGAAGACAGTTTTTCCACAGATGGGGTGAGGGATGGTTTCAGGATGATTCAAGTGCATTATATTTATTGAGTACTTTGTTTCTATTCTTATTACATTATATGATGAAATAATTATACAACTTACCATAATGTAGACTCAGTGGGAGCCCTGAGCTTGTTTTCCTGCAACTAGACAGTACCATCTGTGGGTGATGGGAGACAGTGACATCAGGCATTAGATTCTCATAAGGAGTATGCAACCTGGATCCCTCACACGCGCAGTTCACAATAGAGTTCACGCTCCTATGAGAGTCTAATGCTGCTGATGATCTAACAGGGGGCGAGCTCAAGTGGTAATGCAGGTGATGGGGCGCGGGTGTAAATACAGATGAAGCTTCACTCACTCACCTGCTGCCCACCTCCTGCTGTGCAGCCTGGTTCCTAATAGGCCCTGGACAGGTACCAGTCTGTGGCCTGGGGGTTGGGGACTCCTGGTATATATGATGTTCATGATATACATTATTAAGATTAATTCCACACCTTCCCCCCCGCTTTTTAATGTGGCTACTAGAAAGTTTAAAATTTTATCCATGGCTCACATGACATTTCCACTGGGCAGCACTGATCTAGTCCAGTGCTCTCATTTACAGATGAGGAACCTAAGGATCAGAGGAGGGAAGCGTTTCCCAAGGCCTCATACCCAGTGGGGATTAAGTAGAGAAAGCTGGGAGGTCTACATGTTGTTTCACTGCATCAGTTATTTTTGTATAAACTATGGTGGGTGGAGAGAGAGGGGGCATGATCCCAGTGGTCTGTCTCAAAAGTTGACACCAGTTGTCCAGTCTTGGCATAGATTTGGGATGTTGACATAAATCTAGAATGCAGGCCTAGGACCTTTCTCCATGCAACTGGCCATGCTACTGTCCATGAAGCTCTTCCCTCCATGGTGGGTTCTTGGTCTTTTTGGTGGGGGTGGGTCTTCTCCATATGTGGCCTTGGTGCAGACAGCCTGGACAGGTCATGGCAGAAGAGCTGAAAAGCAGTTTAGAGAGAGCATCCTTCTCACCACTCAATATCACATCAGTGTTGAAGAAGTCTTGCCACACTTCTGGAGAGTTTCCTAAACCTGCAGGACTCAGCAACATTCAAATGGATTCTGCAAATATTTCTTGAGCAGATCCTCTGTACCTAGGCTGAGAAAAGGAGAAGACACAGCTCTTGGGCTCTGTGACTTTATCACCTGGGACAAGAGAATCCATTATACATGAAACAACTCAAGAGCAATGGCAGACAACAAGGCAAGTCCCAAGAGGGCATCCAAGCCTGCAATTGTGATATGGTGGGAAGCACGGTCATGACGATGGCCTGGTTTGGTGAAAGTATATCCAGCATAGAATCCTTATATAGTCTTGAGTCCTGCTATGAACAAATTCAGTGATTTGGGCAGATTGCATTCTCTCTGACCTCAGTGTTCTCATTTGTTCACTGGAATAATGCCTTCCCTCTGGTTCCTGTTCCCCAGTGAGGCTGGGCACGGTGAAAGTGCCACACCCAGCCCAGGAAGAGGTGCCACTTTGGGCTGAGGTTTCAGGACCTCTATAGGTAGAGGGCAGGTGGGAACTTCTGAATGTAACCCATGAGGGAAGCCAGTCAAATAATTTATCTTCCAAAAGAAGATGCTGCTGCAGGTGAAAGGGAATGCTATTAATATTAAAACTGGGACAAGGGATGGAGAGAATGATTGTTCTATGTATATGGGACATATGGCCACCCTACTGGGCAGAGGCCAAAAGACATAGCAAAGACATTGTCCAGTTTGGGCTTTGAGGCTAGTACAGGGAAAAGCTTTGTGACAGAGGTTGGAGGCAGGGGTAGATGGTGAGGGTCAGGGTAGGGGTGAATGCAGGGAAGAATTTTGTGATAGCACTGGATCAGACAAAAGAAGCAAGGCCATAGAGTGCTAGACCTGGTGCCCAGCATGGCACAGCCCTGCAGTGCTGGACACTTGCCTCCCAGGGCTATTGCAAATCTAAACTGAGAACACAATAGGAGGTGTGAAGTTTGGGGATCCAGTGAGGCACTTTTATTCTCATTCCTGGCACAGTGAGCATATTTTATGGGTGTCCCCTGGCTGCTGATGGAAGAAAGCCTGCTGCGCGGATACCCCAGAGGGAGCCCAAGAATGCTCCTCGAGTGAGGCCACAGCCACTGCTGCAGGATGTAGCGGTTTAAATGTTTGAGACCTTGGGTGCTTCCCCAGGGCCTCCAGCCCTGTCCCCATCCCAAACAATGGGATCTGTTGAGCCAGATGGCTCCCAGGCAACAGGAAGCCCTGGGTCCAAGCCCCAAACATAGAGCCTTGGAGGAGATGCCCCAGTGACCTCTAGCTGGAGAGCACAAAGGGGCCGATTTTTCCTGGCTATGGGGCTGGAGCGGGAAAAAGCAGCGCTGTGGCTTTGACTCTAGAGAAACGTGACTGGCCTAGTGTTCCAGCCTTTGCCCTGCAGCTCTCTGTTCCATCTGCTGACTTCATGGGATTGTCCTTCGAGTCCAGCTGGACCATGGTGCAAGGCAGGGGAGACAGGGCCTTTTCTTCCCCTCCCTGTGGCCCCTGGGGGTCAGGCCTGGTGCTGGGCATGGAATCCTTTTGGCTGCCCCCTGCACAAACCCATTGTCCCCACCACCTTCCTGTGCCCATCTTGCCCATGGCTTTCTCGCTGGGGCCTGCAGGGATTTGTGGAAACAACATACCTGAGCCTCCAGCCAGGTGAAGTGGTAAAACCCTCTCCTCTTCACAGGCCCCAGAGATTGGGTCTCTTTGCTTATTAACTCTGCGGCCTCCCCCGGCCCTGTGTCTTGGGATTCAACTGCACACATTTGGTTAACAGCAAGGCCGTCCCTGATGCCAGAGATCGCCATAGGCACTGAGGGGCCAGTCCTCACCCTCACTGTTTGATGGCATTTCCTCCTAGGAAGATGCCCAAGCAGAACACTTTGGCCTTTCGTGGTTGCCTTTAAATGGACCCAGTGGGATTTCTCTTTTAGAGCTCTCTGTTAGGAATCTCCCTAAGCTTGGTGCAGTTCCCCAGCTAGAAGAGGTCTTTGGCAGATCCCCTGGACTCTCTTCCTGCACCATGCTGAAATGTAGGCAGGGCTAGGCCTGTCTTCCTTACAGTTTCCTCTCTACTCATGAGTTGGTCCCATGGAGAAATCGACATCTTTCTTCCATTGATTGGTATCTACAGATAGAGCCCAACCAGGCTTCCTTCCCTCAGGGAAGCAGACCCATGTTTTAAGGGTACCTGGGATTGGTTTTAGTCAGAGATGGTATGAGACCCAGACACAGAAATGACTGTCACGAAGGAAGGAGAAGGGAGGCCCAGCGTGCAGGGCCACAGAAGGGAAGCACCAGGGGTGGTCGCAAGGCAGAAGAAGGGAGGGAAAAACGTGGCCAGGAGCCTTTACAGTGGTTTCCCTGGGACAGCTCAGGCCCAGAGCTGGCTAGTTTGAATAGTTACAGCAGCTCTGTGGCACAGGGACTGTCCCTAGTTGTCTGGTCCCTGGCCCTGGGGTGAGTCGGCCAGGTAGAGAGAGGTCCAGAGTGAAGTGTAAGAAGATGATAGGGGTAAGTGGTAAAGGAGTGGACTCTGGATTGGTTGGTTCGCTCTCTCCAGGAATTTGCTAGCTCTGGGAGAGGCAGCCCTCCAGTATCAGCAAGGCCCCGAGATGTCAAAGCATCGAATGCGGAAACTAGAAAATGTGGTTAGTGCACCCTGTCTCTTCAAAAGTCCTATAGAGAGCCAGGCACGGTAGCTCACACTTGTAATCCCTGCACTTTGGGAGGCTGAGGTGGGCGGATCACCTGAGGTCAGGAGTTTGAGACCATCTTGGCCAATGTGGTGAAACCTCATCTCCATTAAAAAACAAACAAACAAACAAACAAACAAACAAAAAAACTAGCCAGGCTTGGTGGCGGGCACCTGTAATCTCAGCTACTCAGGAGCCTGAGGCGGGAGAATCGTTTGAATCCAGGAGGCAGATGTTGCAGTGAGCCGAGATCGTGTCACTTCATTCCAGCCTGGGAAACAGTGCGAGACTCCGTCTCAAAAAAAAAAAAAAAAAAGAAAAAAAAAAAAGTCCTGTAGAGTTCCTGGCAATTCTGCTACAGTTACTTTCAACAAAACTTTATGCTTTTTGGAATCTGATTCAAGCATCAGGGTCTCTTCTGGGAAGTCTTCTGTCATCCTGCCCCTGGGAACCCCCCAGTGGAATTGCTCTCTTCTCCTGTAGAATCCATCTGTCTCTCTGGGGGACCCCTGCTGTCCTGTGCCGTAGCTTGGGGTTAGTTGTGTTTATGTTTGCTTTTCCCCATGAGCCGTGAGAGCCTTGAGGGTTCACCTGATCCCGTATCCCTTGCAGTGTCTGCCGCAGACAGGCCTGGCTCCACAGGCCTTGGCAGATCATTGAGTGAACATGGACCACAGGCCATTTGAGTATCTCCACACTCAAGGGGGCCGTAATATCTGCTGCCTTGGTGTCATTCTTCAGAAAGTGGCAGGAGACATGCGGTGTGGGCACCCGGCAAGCCATTTGTGTTCTTGTTACTGGTACCACAGGTAAGCATTTTTGTGGATGTCCCCTGGCTGCGGGTGTGCTGTGCCTGGAGGAATTCCTATAGTACATGACATTATGGAAGTCCTTCAAGCCTGGACTTCTATACAAAATATAGACCTTTTATTCAAAATATAAGACCTGCATTTTCTGGAGGAGAGAAGATCCAGGACATTAATCAGACTTTGGAATTGCTCCAAAGTGGGAACAGGTTAAGAGCTTTGGAACAGATGGTCCCTGCCAAGACTGTGGTCCAAGATGCTGGTGGCCACTTCCCGTCTCCAGGTCATGCCCTGCAAATGCCCTCTTTCCTCAGAGGGTCTCTGTCTCTGTCCCCTCCCTTCTCCCATAGGTGGGGCCTCTTAGCCCCCTAGCAAGTCAATGTCTCAATGTCTCTCAGGAGGGAGTGATTTAAGTCATTCCAGATTATCACCCTACAAGCTAATCTGACTCTGACCTTGTTCTCTGGTGACTGGGCTCCCATATTGTTCCTTGTGCCGAAGACCCCGTCCAGACGGCTTCTCCAGTGCCCTGAGGGTTGTAGAAGAGTGGCCTTCCTAGTCCCTCACCCTTGCTCCCTACTACCTCACCCAGGCTGCCCTGGTCTGGAGCAACTGCGAGCAGCTGAGACTCCGCAGGTGCTAATGGTTACAACAATGACAACCGCAGCAGCTACCACTACTATGGCTATTACTGTGCTCAGCAGTAATAACATACTATTAAGAATGACAATGGTAGCAGCTGACCTTGACTGGCAGCTCACTCTGGGCTAGGTCACTTTCTTATTTAATTCTCGCCACAGCCCTGTGACTTAGGGACTTTTATCTTCCCACCTTCATTTTACAGAAGGAACCTGGGGCACAGAGAAGCTAAGCTACTTACCCAAGGCCACACAGCTAGTAAGTGTGGAGCCAGAATTTAGACCCAGGCTTGTGCTCCTCCCAAGCTCACACCTGTAGCCCCCATGCAGCATTGCTGAGTGTTTGACTGCCCCCTTGTTCTATGGGCATTGATGTTCCAGGAACCAGCGTTCCTCTGCCCTCCCCCGTGACTCCCACTGTACCCTGTCCTTCCCTCCTCAACATGTCTGTCACACAGGACTGCTGAGGCCTGTTACTAGACAGTGAGCTTCTTATGGGCAGGGACTGGGCCATTCTTGCTCCCCATTTAGCCTCAGAGCATGACACAGAGCTGATGTGCAACATTCATGGAATGAATGGACCGCCCACCACCTGGTTCTTGTCCGGTTCTGTCATGAGATACAACCTTGGACTTGGCTCATGCCAGATAGCCAGTGTGCAAGTGACAGGCTGCCCCACTGTGCCTGTTTCATGCACCCCCACTCTTCACCCGTGTGAGCCTGGAAGGGACGGGAGGCAACAATGACAGTGTTAGGGCTTGTCAAGGCAGCCCTCCTCCCTGCTTTTGGCACTAGACTTCGACGAGAAGTGACATCTCCTCTTGTGTCTTGACCTCTCCTTTCCCCCTTCCCTGGGGACTTGACCCAGAAGCTGATAGGGAAGGACAGGCCTAGTTTGACTGGAATGAGCATGCCGGCAAAAAGGCAAGAGCAGCCCTCCCCACCAGGACTCAGTCAGCCTGGCCAAGACAGCTGAGGCTAGCAGCCTTGGGGTGACTGAAGGGGGCCTGCAGGGGCCACATAATTCGGGCCTGGATGCCAAGGGCTTGGTGTTTCTCCCATTTCCCTACTCAAATGAACCTTTGTCCTGATGGTCATATCCTTCCCCTGAGCAGAGGGGCTAGGGGCTCTGGGGTCTCTGCCTGACTGCATCCTGGCTTCTAGGCATAGGATGGAGGCTGTGAAGTGCTTGTCCCAAGTGTCAACTTTTGGAGCCATGCAAGCAACCACTGGCGGCCTCGTCCCAGCAGATTCCCAGGTCCAAGAAAGATGAGCCACCTGAAGCCAAATTCAAACAGGGTATGTGAGAAGAGGAGCCAGGAAGCACAGCCAGGCAGAGAAGTGGCTGGGGGAGCCGGTGCCAGAGGACGTTAGACATATATGCAGAAAGGAAGCCTGGAGGGATTCCTGAGCAGAAGCGGAAGCGACTATGATGGTTTTAAAACCATGCTGCAAATCTGGATATGCCAGAAGCTGTTTAAGGCGTGAAATCAGAGCAGACACCCATGGCAGAACCAGAATGGGTATTCCCAGCAGCCTTTCTTAGGGTCCGACTTCCGTCCTCCAGAAATCCCCTCTGCTTCTCTTGGTTCACACATCAATCCAACAACCCACCAAGCATTTGTTGATGGCTTTCTATGCATGCAGCATCAGTCCAGACATATGCTTACACTCTTGCTGGAGAGATGAGTTGGATGGTTGGATGTGTACACCCGCAAACATCCAACCAGTGGTCTCTTGTAAGGCATAGACTTGCGTGGGAGAGGGGGTTGGCACCTCTAAGGCACCGATTGGCAGCAGATGGATGCAGTTCTGGAAGTGAGCAGCAGCAGGGGCTGCAGTGATCAGGGAGGGTCATGCACTGGGGGGCTTGAAGGATGTGGTTCCATGAACAGGAGAGGAGAGAGGCCTCCAGATTGGATGGATTCCTGCTACACGCCCTGGTGCCACCAAGACCACAGTTCCGACTCCACTCAGGATCTAAGCATGACCCTGCAGTTGCTACAGCCCCTGACACGGTGCTGCTATGTCCTGTGGCTCACCCTGATGGAGGCTTCAGATTTAGGAGAGAGAATAGCACACAAGGAGACAGGGTACACAGTGTTTCTCTCCTTCCCTCCCTGCTCCTTTCCTCCCTCCCTTCTTTTCTCACATAACAGGTACATTTTATAACAGGAAACAAAAGACACATCACCCTGCCCTCACGGAGCTTACATGGATCCTTGTCACCAGTTCCGACCTTCAGTTTCTCCTCTGTAAAATGAGACTACTTCTAGCTCTGAAGCTTTTGAATTCAGTGGAACTTAGAGTGGTAAGCTGGGCTGGTTGCAGTTGTGGAAGGAAAGCTGAAGACCTGTCCTGTCCTGAGGGGATGGGCACACACACACACACACACACACACACACACACACACACACCATTGCACCACTAACATGGAAACAGAAAACATCAGAGCAGCCTCAGCTCCCTGTGGGGTGACTCATGTGTCCCCAGGCACTGGCTGGGTTCTTTGCACCAGGGTCTCCTGGGATGCTCATGCCACCCACATCTCTGCATCCTGGTGCTCTGTTTCCTGCCTTACTTTGCCCATGGGCATAACAAGAAGGCCTGCGATGCCTGTGTGTTTAGGTGAGCTACTCCAGTGATGATTTCCCTTTGCAGGAGACTAAACACGGAAACAATTATTGTTTAATTTCAAGTGAAAGGGGCACTGAAGGAGACATGGTGTGACCTTTTCTGTGCATGTATCTATAGATAGAGATATATAGACATTGAAATTTATTTCCCCAGGAAGACAAGTGCTACAGCGCAGCCAGCTGGGTTTGTGTGTGGAGCTGTGTTTGTGTACAGTGTTATGTGTAATTTATTTCCCCAGGGAAGAGCAGCTAAGATGGCGCATCTGATTCCTAGCAGAGGCTGCTTTTCCTTTTATTTCTTAAAAATAAACCAATCCGCCCCCCACATCTGAACGAATTGTCTCCTCCAGCCAGCTGCCTTATTTGACTGGATTATTTGAGCTTCCCGATGTCTCTGCAGAGACGTGGGCTTTGGTGTCTGCAACCCCCTGGGATCCAGTTGTTACCCACCATGTCTCTGTCGTAGCCCTGGTTCTGGATGGGAAAGAGGGCACTGCAGAATGGCTGGGGCGGAGGACACACATGGTGGGCCGGCTCTGCCTCTGTCACTTGTCCTCTGGGAGGCTTCAAGGGAGAGTTCTGAGTCTTTGCTTACTCTTTGCCTAAAACTGGCTTTTTCCTGCTGTCACCAAAGGGATGTCCTCAAGTCTCTGCCACCCCCACTTGCTAGTCCCCGACCCTCTCAGCCCCCACCTTCCTCAGTAAGAGCCACCCTGTGAGGCAGCTCTCTAGACCCTGGAGTAAATGAATGAGAGCTCTGGCTTCCCATTCCCTGCCCTCTTTTGTGACTCATGGCTGGGGGTTTAGAAATATTTAGAAGGCATTATTTAATTAGTTAGCAAATGCAATGCTTACTTTAATTTTGTAAATTCGGTGGGCATAAGTGCCCACCCACCTGTTCTGGTTGCCATAACAACTTTAAATTTCATCTGTGGTCTCGGCTGATGCTTCTCCTTTGACTGTGTGTATGTGCAGGTTTTGTTTGCTTGTGGGTGACTGTGTGTAGTTTCTCTCCTGGCTTTCTCTCCCCTCAAGCCCTTAGTCTGTCGCCTCCTCTTTGGTTTCTTCCTTCTTGGTGCCTCGCTGCTTCTTGATTCATTTCCTCAAGGGTTTCCCTCTATCCCCTCCCTCTGTGTTTGGATTTAGGGTGGGATCTTCTTGCATTGCTGGGATCCATGAGCCATGAGTTCTCAAAGGCTCCCTAAAGGTGTTTTAGGCATAGGTGAGTTGTAGCTGTCTACGTGGTGTGATTTTAGGGATACCAAGGAGAGCCCCAGATATCAAACTCAGGGTGCTTTAAATTTCCCTATTGGGAGTTTGTAACCTAACAAATATTTTCTTAGTTGACAAAAAGTTATGTTTATTTATGTGTACAGCATGGTATTTTGATATATATGTGTATTGTGAAATGATTACATCATGCTGAAGGCTGAGGAAACCCAGTGTGAATCCTCCCTCACCTCCCTATCATCAGCATCCCACTCATATCAACACCTCTGGGTACCTTGATTCCCCAGCACTTCAGGCGAGCTCTAGGGGGAGAGCTGCAGGTGTAGGGATGCTGTTGGTGTGTACTGGAACGGTAAGTGTGCAGGGGATATGGACAGGGAACTGACAGCGTCTATTCTGATCCTCCCCTTGCACTACTCAGACCCCCTCATGGCCCAGTTAACCTGACTGCAACCTGACTGTTTCTTTCAAATGTGACCGATCCTAATAAAATAAAAAAGACAACTAAGGGGCTAGTGAGACGAAGTTTTTGCTGCTGTGGTTGATTCTGAGGTTGTAAGTGATAATCATCATGTTGCTCTTTCACCACCAACTGGTTCTACATTCTCCTGGCACTCAGCCAGCATTTCTGCTACATTTTGCTTGCCTGGTGGGATGGACCAAGCCATTATCCCTGAGAGGCTGAGCCCCTGGCTACTGTGACTTTGTCAGGCCGTTGGTTGAGAGAGTTGCCCATTCATGCTTATCCCTGGGCGCAGAAGCACAAAGCAGCATCCCCAGCAGATCTCTTGAATTCCAGACCTGTTCCTTTCTGCCCCCATGATGTAGCAGAAATCCTAACTGCTCATGGAATCAGGTCAATTTCCCCTCCTGGTTTGATAATTTCTTTCTTTGCTTGCTGGTATGCTGGCATGAGGACCCCAAAATGACCAGGGAACAGCCCTCACTTTAGGATTAGAGGAACCCTTACTGTGTCTCCTGCTTCAGGTATTTCCCCCCGACCCTGGAATCAGGTTCATCAGATCCTAAATGTGCAGGGACAAGAGGCATGGATTCCTCCGGTGGGTCACTGGGAATGGTGCTAAGAAGGGCTACCTCTTCTGCCAGCCCTTGGTCTTCAGACCCATGTATTTAAGTCACTGGGGATACAACACCGCAAAGTAGTCATTAGTTCAAACAGTATGCTGCATCTTGACTAGTGTCCCAACCCCATGGATGTTATTACCAAGCTGGTGCTTAGCTGAACCTTCATGAGGCCAACCCAAAGCTCTATCAGATTGGTGGCTTCTGAGAGATGGATGTATTGGATGTATGACGGGACTACTGGGCCCTGTGGTTGTGTGCTGACTGCCACACCTCTCTCGCTGCAAGGTGCATCTTTTGGCCCACAGTGATATACTGCAAGATCCCATATAGTAAACCAGATACTCTATGAGCCCTTGGACACTAGTTCTATTCAAGACACTGCAGGTCCAAAAGGCAAAGCCTTTCCTAGAATATGTGTCAATGCAGTAAGAACAAAACACATTTTCCAGGGTGAGGAATTCTGACATCATCAACTTGCCATAAAGTGGCTGCAGGGTTTCCTTGAGGGATGGTGTCAAACTGAGGACTCAGCATTGGGAATGAGGGACCATATGAATCTCTGGAAATAACTGGACCATCCTCAGTAAGAAGAAGCCCATGCTGTCTGGCTCATGGCCTCCTTACCTGTTATCAAAGCTTCATTCACTGGGGCGCTTAAGGGCAGCAGTGGGCTGACATCCTCAGGATCCTGTCTGTTTGGTTGTTCAATGCCTGCTCTGTGGGAATGCTCTCTAGTGGACAATGAGAATGATCCACCCCATTTTTCCTCATTTTGCAATCTTGCCCTTTCCAGGCTCTTGACCATAGCCAGCTAAGCCATTCTCTACTGCTTGTGGGTATGTGACTGTCGTAACCTCAGGGCCCTTCTCCCGCCACATCAGGTTGGGGATCAGTTCAAGTGTTCAAGGCCCTCTCCAATGGGAAGATTTCCCTTCACTGCTGAATTTCAGGGCTACCCTTGCAGCAGGCTACTGGGAGATAGTGGTACATTTTTGGGTTCAACCGGAATATGGAGTTGACTTATCTGTGAAGTAGGCCCAAGGTTTTCCTTCTCCATCAGCTGGTGATAGAGAACTCCCTACAACCAGGAGCTGAAGGAAACACATTGGTGCAACATAAGTAGGTGACATGAGATCTGGGTCACCTGTTTGTGTCCTTTAGGCCTGCTAGGGACTGATCTTGAATATGCTGTTTTCATTAAATGGTGGAATTCTCCAGTGTCCACACAACTTATGACTTGGCAGGTCTAAACATACCCAGACCATGATGGACAGCTCTGGTCTCATTGTTCCTTGATATCCCATGGTCAGGTGATTAGTCCCTACTACAGCCCAATAGCATGCCTAAACCTGCCTTTTGAATGGTGAGGTGTTTTTTTTTTTTTTTTTTTTTTTTTTCTGTAGATAGTTCAGTCTTGCTCTAGAATCCTAGGGTTTTGTTCTGTAACTCCCCTGCTTAATCTCACCAAGACTCCTCAAAACATTGTCATCTATCTCAGATATTGCTAGCATCCTGGAATCTGCCAGGTCTTAAGGTACCAAATATGAAGCCACTACCTTAAAGATGGGATGTTCAAGGTTTAACGATTTCTTCTTTATCTTGGAAGAAATACCACAGTATGCCCCATACCACTGGACCTTTAAAAACTTTTCTGATGTGGCAGGCCTCTGAGTCTTTGTAGGGCTTATCTCCAACCCCTGATGCACACATCTTACCAGGACTTCTGAGTTCTTGCCATTTCCTGCTCATTTGAATTGTTATTATGATGCTATCAGTATAATAGGCCCGTCTGATGTTCTGTGGAATGTTGAGAAAAAGATGGTTCCTTTGAACTGTATGGTGACAGAGAGCAGAAGAGTTAAATAGGTCTGGGCAAAACCATTCATATGTACAGTTATGTATGGCAAGTGAATGCAAACTTGTTCTGATCTTCCTCGAGAGAGACTGAAAAAAATGTATTCATCACATTGTAAACCACATACTAAGTGCTGGAGGCTGTGCACATCTATGCTACTGAAGATGTCTGGCAAAAAGACTTGCAGTTGAGGCTACTGCTTGGTTAAGTTTATGGTAGTCCATTGTTATCTGCCAGGAGTCATCTAATTTTGCTGATGGCTTATATGGGGATATGATGGGGACCATGACCCTGCATCCTTTAAGTCTTTGAAGGTGATACCATACTAGTCTTTTTCATTCCATCTAAGGTGTAGTATTGTTTTACTCTCTTGGCCTAGTGAGCATATGTTTATGTGTATGTACGTGCATTTTAGTGTGTGAGTGTAGGTGTGGGTGTGAGTATGGGAATGCCTTAGTCTGTTTTCTGTTGCTGTAACAAAATAGCATAGATGGGGTAATTTCTAAAGAACAAAAATTTATCCTCTCACAGTTCTGGAGTCTGGGAAGTCCAAGATCAAGGTACTGGCAGCTGATGAGGATTTTCTTGCTGCATCCTTACATGGCAGAAGGCAGAAGGGCAAAAAAGGGACAAATGCTGTGTTCCCAAATGGTAAAAGATCAGAAGAGAAAATCTACTCCTGCAAGCCCTTTTAAGATGCATTAGTCCATTCATAAGGGTGGAGCTCTCAGGACCTAAATACATCCCAAAAGATCACACCTCCAGGCCGGGCATGGTGACTCATGCCTGTAATCACAGCACTTTGGGAGGCCGAGGTGGGTGGATCACCTGAGGTTGGGAGTTCGAGGCCAGCCTGACCAACATGGAAAACCCTGTCTCTACCAAAAATACAAAATTTGCCAGGCGTGGTGGCACATGCTTGTAATCCCAGCTACTTGGGAGGCTGAGGCAGGAGAATCACTTGAACCCGGGAGTCAGAGGTTGTGGTGAGCTGAGATCACACCATTGCACTCCAGCCTGGGCAACAAGAGTGAAACTCTTTTTCAAACAAAACAAAACAAAACAAAACAAAAAAAAACACTTCCAAATACTGTTGCATTAGAGATTAAATTTCAATGTGTAATTTGGAGGAGGACAAAAACATTCAAACTATAGCAGCGGTAAGAGTATGTGTATGTGTGTGGGTGTGGGTGTTTGTGGGTGTGAGTGTATGTATGTGGGTGTGTTTGAGTGTGTGTAAGAGTATGTGTGTGTGAGTGTGTGGGTATGTGTTGCTGGCAGGAAAGGTGGGGAGGCTTCCACTTGGCCTTTTCTACTCCAACAAATACTACACAGGCCAGGAAGCCAATGTGAGAGGTCTGCCAACTTCTAGGTGCATTCATCTAGATTATGCATAAAAGGACCTGAGAAATGACCACAGAGTGAGGCTGTAAACCCACTGGACCCTCTATGAAGTGAACATCTACTGGGAGTCCATTGATTAAATAATATTTCTATGCTTTCCACTCAAATAGGATGGTGTTTTTGATCCCTTGGTATCAGTTTCAGTCTGTGCAGATCCTGTATCCAGCAGTCTCTGAAATTTCTGGGCATTATCTTTTTCCCATTATACGGTTACTCTGATAAATGGCCAAAAGTCCATTTAGGGTAGGAATGAGAGTATTGGTACTGTATATACTTTCTGTGGCATTTTCAGTACCCTTTATCAAAGGGGCCCTGATCTCTTCTTTCACCGATGGGCTGTGAGTCCAAGAACTATCTCAGATCTGGAAACTGGATGAGGGATTATAATGTTCTATTCTAGCCACTGACATCAGCCTTCTCACCCCGTCTTGATCATTTTAGATTATATAAGCCAAGCAATACCTTTGTTGGCAAAGAACATCTATCTCACCTCTGGAAACATCGAGGATTATTAGTCATTGCAACAAGTCTCCCCCCACCCCACCTCCTCCTGGTTATGATTCCAGCCTTGCTGCCCATCACGTAATTGCATTCACTTTGCTTCTGACGTTGTCCTGGCTATTCTAGAATCCCAGCCCCATTGACATTTGGGAGCCACGGCAGCATCTCCCACTGTTTTTCCTGGCCTCAGACAATAGCCACCACTGAACTACTGATCACAGTGCCCCATTTCTTTATTGCTTTATTGAAGGCAATGTCCTCCAGGCCTCCCTGGAGAACATAGTTAGCGTGTTCCCTGGTATAACACAGTAAATTCAATTCAACAAGGTGCCTCTCTGAGCCTTTTGTTCCTTTCCTCAATACCCTGCCAAGGCAGTTCTGGCATTTCCACCTCATATACTATAGGCTGTTATTGTTTCCAAGCTTCAAGGAGCCATGCCAACAGTGCATTAGGACTGGCTCTGAATGTCTTTGCCAGGGCATTCAATCTTGAGTCATAGGAAAGTGTTCTCATGTCAATGAATTGTCCACAACCTAACCTTGTATTCCACCCATGCAGTCCAGCACACTCAAGATTAATTCCCAGGCATATTCTCCAAGTTCCTGCTGGATTTGCAGCAGCTTCTTTTTTTTGGAATAATCTATTTCCTTCCATAAGAAGTGACATATTTGTCTAGTCAATTCATGCTGAGACTTGTTCTTAGATATTGGTTTAGAAACAACAAGGGGAAGTGCAGGCAGCCCTGGGGGACAGTAATCATCATTTTGTGAGTCATTAGCTTTTAGTGAGGCTTTTTCATGGATCCAGGCCAATAAACAGTGTCTCCTCTCCATGGGGGAGGTGGTATTTCTGCTGGCCCAAGGGATTAGGGGAATCTGGGACTTCAAGGTTCTCAAGTGAGTCAATCTAAATGTCTTTATCACAGGTCTCAGGGTTCCATTCATTTCTAATGGGGGCCATCCCATTAGCATTGAAGGCTTTGAATGCAGCTTTCTTTGCATCTCTGCCACCCTGTTAGTCATATATTGAGCCCAATTTCTGTTCAGTCTGCCTCTCAGCTGGAGGAGACGAGGTTCTCTCTAACATGCTCCTGGAGACCTTCTGAATTTCAAGTTGATAGCTCAGTTGGCCTGAACCTATCATATTTTTCCTTCAGAACTTTGGGGGCAGTTAACAACACTTAACTAACTTCACAATTGTCATAACTAAAATTACTCCCGTTGTTTTCAAGTCTAGGCCAGTACTTCTCAGACTATTTGTTGTAAAGGAATAGTTTAAGCAATACTTTGTGGACTGATGAATTTCTAAAAAAAAAAAAACAAAATAAAAAAGGCATATGGTTAGGCACAATGACTCATGCCTGTAATCCCAGCATCTTTGAAGGCCAAGGCAGGAGGATCACCTGAGGCCAGGAGTCTGAGGACAACCTGGGCAACATAGTGAGACCTTGTCTCTACAAAAAGCTAAAAAATTACCCAGGCTTGCTGATGTGTTCCTGTAGTCCTAGCTATTCAGAAAGGTGGGATGAGAGAATCAACTGAGCCCAGGAGTTGGAGGTTACAGGGAGCTATTATGGTGCCACTGTACTTCAGCCTGGGTGACAGAGTGAGACCCTGTCTCTAAAAAAATTGAAGAAAGCCTATGGACCACACTTTGAGTAACACTGTGCTAGACCTATTGTATAAGCCAGTGCATTTCCTTCCACTTGGACTCCATCTCAATGCGTTTCACTACAGGTGAGCATTTTAGTAATTGTGATGCCATGGTGTGCCAGGGTTGTCTGCACCCCATCCCATTTGTCACCAGCCATGGGGTCCTCATTAGCATCTGGTTGGCATGTGATCCTATTCTAGCACCTTATGCTGAAGATCTGCTTCCTACTCTTATTCTGGCACCAAATATCTTAGATTGGGTTCTCCCAGAAGCATATTCTGAGCCAAGTAGATGGATGCATGTAGTTTATTTAGGAGGTGATCCTTGGAAACACAGTAGGGAGTGGGGAAGTGAGACAGGGAAGGAAGAAAGCTGAAAAGGATGTATTATTGTATAAATTCCCGCTGTGAGAATCTGGGCTCAATTCTACTGGGAAACTGGAAATAGATTAGAACACTCCACAGACTTATTTTGCTCAAGGATTATTGGCTGATGGCTACTCCAAGAACATTGACTCTCAGCATCTCCTGTAGATTTGCAAACTGAAAGAAATCCCTCAGGCAGGGAGGTATATGTGCTTGCAGCAGGACACCACTGGCATGTACCAACACGGGGATATGGACAGGTCATTGACAGCATCTGCTATGGAGAGGTACCAGAGGTCCATTCAAAGAGACAGAGGCAAGGAGGTCAATCCTAGGTGCATGCCAGGGCAAGGTGGAACCTGGAAATGAAAGCCAGCCCATGTCAGTCACTGATAAACTGAATGAAGGGTACGGGAAAGAGCAGAGTGTTATTTAAAAAAATGTGGTGCAGTTCAGGTTTGTTTGTGACCAGAGATTTTTGCAACTGGAGAGTAGGGTCTTACTACTAAGGGTGGAAGGACACAATGTGATGTGTTACAGACTGGGACTTGACAGGGCTATCTGCCTCCTAAAGAGTGAGATGGAACAGAGCTCTACAGGCCTTTTGTGAGTTAACCTAATCGTTTGTGTGTGGGGTGTGTGTGTGTATGTGTGTATACGTGTGTGTTTTAAAGAGAGATGGGGTCTTGCTATGTTGCCCAGGCAGGAAACAAACTCCTGGACTCAAATGATCCTACGGCCTTGGCCTCCCAAGTAGCTGCAGCAACAGGTGTGAGCCACTGTGCCTGGCAACCAAGTGACTTTTGACTTGTCAGTGAACCCCACCATCCTACAGAGGTATCTCCAAGGCATGGGGTGGGTTGAGGGCATAGGGTGTGTAGCCCCCACTTTGGCTTCAAGCACAGTGTCTTTAGTGGTTGCTGTCTTCTGATCAGATTTTGTTTGAAATGATGTTTCTGCTTCTAAAAGACTGCTTGAAAACCACTGATCTAATCTGTGGAGTTCTGTTTTATCTACTTTTGGGTGAATCCATTTGGCATGTCAGAGGGTCAGGGCTTGGGGCAGCCGATACCCTGTGTGGGAGGCCCTGGCACTTGGAGAATGTGCCCAGGTCTCCCTGAGAGTAATTGTGTCTTCAGATGCCATCTGCGGGGTTTGTAAGAAAAAATAAATAAAAAGAAAGTAGTGCTGTTACTTCAAACTTCTGTTTCTTTTGTTCTCTCTCTGTAAACCCAGAGTGGGCAGGAACATTCTTTAGTGGTCGGCATGCATCTCCTGCAATAACACCTAGTTACCTTGGAAAGTAAACTTGCAGGAGGTACACAGGAAGTCCTGGGCAAAGGTGCCAATCAATTTCCAAGTCTGACGGATTTCAGGGGGTCCCTTATCTGCCTTCTCTCTAAACCCTAGCCTTCCCTCCCGTCTCCTTTCACAAGAAGGTTGCATTTGGGCCTGGCAGACACATGCTTCTTCCTCATGGCCTCTGCATGCCTAGCACCTTGGACAGGGACAGGCGAGGCCATTTCCAAGACTATTTCTTTCAGGGGAACAATTTACTCTTTGCTCTGTGCTTGTCAGCAGAGCTCTTAAATTTCCAGGACAGTTGGATGAAATTGGATGTAGCCAATTTGCATCTTCAAATCGGTTTTGTACACACGGTGCGTGTACTCATGTCTCTGGGGACGAGAGAGGAATGGTGTTTGACAGCTCACAGGCCATGAGATGACAATTGTCTCTGCTTTGTCTTTGAGTCTGGGCCTAAGTATCCTTTTGCCTCAGTTTCCTTTTAGGAAAAAGGGGGTGGTGGGCTGAGTGATCTCTGAGGTCTCTTTTAGCTTTAGTGTTCTGTGGTTTTATGGCTCTGAGGAAAGAAGATGGTAAGAAAACCAATAGTCCGTGTTCCACTATGTAGCTGAACTGCAGCCCAAGTAGAGAGAGTCAAACTGTTCTTTGCACAGTCTTGGTTCAGACCAGCCTCAGCGTTTGGACATTATCATGTAAGCAGGTCTGGAAGTGTGGAGGGTGAAGGGGCAGCTGCTGTGTGCTCAAGATGACCTCTTGCAGCCTCTGTGTAGCTGGGATTGGCCATGGGCAATGCAGAAGGTCATTTGATCTCTTAGAACCTCAATTGCCTCACCTGCAAAGGGAAGCTGAAAAGAATCACTCCTAGTCTGGTTGAAAAGAATAACCAGGAAGTGCCTGAGATGTCATAGGCACTCATCAGTGTTAGCTTCCTGATCCTTTCCCTTCCTCTTGGGTCCTGATCTGGAGTGGTACATTTGAGTAAGAGCCCTCCATGGGTACATTATTCTCACTTCTTCATCTTTATCTCCTACAGCTCCCAAAGCTCAAGGACTTTTTTTTTCCCCTGCAGTTGTCCTCTCTCTCTCTCCTGCATCATTAATTTTTACCTCTCTACATTCTATTGGAGTGTTCGCATCAGAATACAAACATGCCATAATATCTTCAATCTTAAAAAAAAACTCCCTTGACCCCCACGTCCCTCTTCAATTACTGTTCAATTTCTCTGCTTGCTTTGACAGCAAAACTTGTCGATACTTTCTGTATCTACTTTCTCACCTCTAATTCTCCCGTGAACGCATTCCCATCAAGCTTTCATTCCTACTACCTCACTGAAATAGCTCCTAGCAAGGTTGCCCATTACTAATTTGACTGGTCAACTCAGAGTCCTCCTGTTGACCTGCTGGCTGTATTTGTCACAACTAATCACTGTATTATTTGAAATACTTTCTTCCCTTGGCTCGCTCTTGTTCTTTAACAGTTGTCTTTCTTGGTTTTCCCTTATCTTCCTTACTTTTTAATGCTGGAGTTCCCCAGGGTGCTCAGTTCTAATAGCTCTTCTCTGGGTTCCTCCCCAAATTTATATCTCCAGTCCCACCTCTGACTTCCCTCCCTTTATTACAGACTGATATATCCAGCTTGCCCAGTGTTGCTGCTTGGTTGTCTAGCAAGTACCTTAAACTCACCATAGACAAATCTGAGTGCATCTTAGAAACTGACAACTCAGACTTCCTCATCTTTGTCATGGGAAAATTATTTTTTTTCCAGATGTCCAGACCAAAAAAAATCTAAAAATAATTTTTGACTTCTCTCTTCCTCTCCCTCTCTACATGCAACCTGCCAAAAAAAAAAAAAAAAATGAGGCAGCTCTACTTTTGAAGTAATCCTTCCTCCCTTCCTCCTACCCCTTCTCCTGAACTCTACCACAGTCATCTCGGAGCAAGTCACCATGATCTCTTGCCTAACAATTTCAACAGTCCGCTAACTGGTTTCCTTGCTTCCATCCTTCCTTTTTATAGTTGGGAATGATAGTCATGGTTTAGATGTTAATTTTAAAACATAAATGGGATCATGTCACAACTGTGCAAAACAATCCAAGCCATCCCCATCTCTCTCAGGATAAGTTCTTTTTTTCTGTGGGAAAATGACAACTAGTATAACATAAATGGATAGTATATTGAAGACAACATTGGATATAACATTGTAATGTAAATTATGTATTCTTAATGTTTATTAATTGGGAACCTCTATGCCAGGGATAAAAATTGGTGGCCTTTGGGTCCAAATTCAAACTGCAAATACATTTTATTTGGCTTAAATATTGTGGTTGTCATATTGTTTTGCCTGCTGTTTTGGCTTGAATATATTTAGTCAGCGCATTTAGCCACAAACTCTACTATAGTCTCTTATTTTTATACCAGTGTTATGTTACTGGCTATCCCATAGGCATTTGAGATTTTATTCTATATATATTTCTACTTATTTTCTTCTGCAAGCAAATACTTCCTTTTTCCAATGTTATTTTTATTTTTGTTTTAAGTTCTGGGATACATATGCTGAACGTGCAAGTTCGTTACATAGGTATACATGTGCCATGGTGGTTTGCTGCACCTATCAACCTGTCATCTAGGTTTTAAGCCCCACATGCCTTAGGTATTTGTCCTAATGCTCTCCCTCCCCTTGCCCCCCAACCCCCTGACAGGCCCCAGTGTGTGATGTTCCCCTGCCTACGTCCATGTGTTCTCCATTGTTCAACTCCCACTTACCAGTGAGAATATGCAGTGTTTGGTTTTCTGTTCCTGTGTTAGTTTGCTGAAGATGATGGTTTCTAGCTTCATCCATGTCCCTGCAAAGGACATGAACTCATTCTTTTTTATGGCTGCATAGCATTCCATGGTGTATGTATGCCACATTTTCTTTATCCAGTCTATCCCTATGGTAACTTTTCTGACACCTGCTTAAAGCCCAAAAGGTCTGAAGGATTGTGAAGCCCTGTTTTCACGGTCTGTATTCATACTGAAAATCAGGATCAAATGAGCTTTTGCCCTTCTGTTCCACTGGAGGTTTCTGTGCTCCCTGAGCTCACCTTAGGACACTTGCGTTACTGTTTGACAGTGTACTGCCCCAGTTAAACTCTCCACCTGGCACTGTCCCTGGAGCGGGTTGTGCCTGGGTGGCGTGCAGCCAGGTGTTTGGTGCCAGATGCAAGAGCCCCTTGGGGCTTGCCCCCCACCCCCACCTCACCGGGTCAGTGAAAAAACGATAAGTTCTACATGATCTAGGCCTTCTCTACCTCTCTGACCTCCTTTGCCCTTTGTTCACTCTCTTGCAGCCACATCATACTCTAACGTGCCCAGCACAGTCCTAGTCTAGGGCATTTGCATCTGCTCTTCCTGCTACCTGAAATGTTCTTCTCCAAAGCTGGTCACATTGTTCACTCCTTCACTTCATTTGGGTCTACACAAATGGTACCTTCCCAGAGAGTTTTCCATGAACCTCCTATCAAAAACACCACCCTTTGTCATTCTCTATTCCCCAATTATTCTTTTTGTTTTTTAAATTTGAGAGCTTTATTAAGGTATAATTGACACACAGTAAACTACACATATCTGATAAGTTTTGATATAACATATACATCAGCAAAACCATCCCCACAATCAAGGTAATGAACCTATCCATCACTGGCAAATGTTGACTTGAGCTGCTCTGTAATCCTCCCTCCTGCCTCTCTCCCATACACAAGCAATTACGGATCTGTTTTCTGTGACTATAGATTAGTCTGCATTTTCTATAATTTAATACAAGTAGAATCAAACAGTATATATTCCTTTTTGCCTGGTTTCTTTCACTCAACACAATTATTTAGAGACTTCTTCATGTTGTAGCAGGTATCGGTAGTTCATTCCTTTTTATCGCTGAGTAGTATTCTATTGTGTACCTGTCTATTCACCTACTGCTGTGTGGGACATTTCTAGTTTTTGCTGTTACAAATAAAGATGCTGTGAACATTCATGGGCAAGGCATTGTATGAACACATGTTTTCCTTTCTCTTGGGTACATGCCTAGGAGAGGAATGACTGGTAGGTGTATATTTAATTTTTAGGAAACTGTCAAACTGTTTTCCAACAAAGCTTTTTACATTTTACAGATCAACTAGCAGTGAAGGCGAGTTCCAGTTCCTCCATGTCCTCGCCAACACTTTCAGCAACTTTAAAAGGTATGTAGTGATATCTCATGGTGGTTTTAACTTGGATTTTTCTAATTACTAATTATTTTAGTAATCTTTTTCATGTGCTTATTATTTTAGCATCTTTTTCATGTGCTTATTTGCCACCCATATACTTCATTTGGTGAAGCATCTGTTCAGAAGTTTTGTCTGTGGACAGTAATGTGTCACCTAATGATGGGGATACATTCTGAGAAATGTATTCTTACGTGATTTTGTCATTGTGAATACATCATAGTGTGTACTTACATAAACTTAAGTGGTACAGGTTGAGCATCCCTAATCTAAAAATTTGAAATTTGAAATGCTACAAAATCTGAAACATTTTTGGAGTGCCGACATTATGCCACAAGTAGAAAATTCCTCGCCTGACCTCATGTGACAGGTTGCAGTCAAAACTTTGCTTTATGCCCGTTATTATACAATACGTATAAGATTACCTTCAGGATAGTCATGAAAGGTTTATATGAAATGTAAATGAATTTTGTGCTTAGACTTGGGTCCCATCCCCAAGATATCTCATTATGTACATGCAAATATTCCGAAATCTAAAGGAGTCTGAAATCTGGAACACTTCTTGTTCCAAGCATTTCAGATAAAGGATACTCAATCTGCGTAGCTTCCCATACACTAGGCTAGATGGCATAGCTGATTGCTCCTAGGCTACAAACCTGTACAGTATGTGACTGCACTGAATACTGTAGGCAACTGTAACATACTGGCAAGTGTTTATACATGTAAAAGTAGAAGAGGTGCGGTAAAAATATGGAATTATAATCTTGTGAGACCACCATCATATATGTGATTTATCACTGACCAAAACATTGTTACGTGTTGCATGACTATTAGTTTTCTGGTGCTGTATAACAAGCTATCACAAACGTAGTGGCTTTAAACAACATTCATTTGTTATCCCACAGTTTTTGTGCATTGGGAGTCTGGGCACAGTTTAGCCGAGTCCTCTGCTCAGGGTCTTACCAGGTTGTAATCAGGGTGTCAGCCAGGCTGATTTCTCATCTGGTGGCTAGGCTAGGGACAAATCCACTTCCAAGCATATCAGGTTGTTGGCAGGATTATCTTGGAGCAGTGTGACTGAGGGCCCTGGCTTCCTACTAGCTGTCTTTTAGCTGCTAGACGTTGTCTGCCATACCTTGCCATGTGGCCCCCTCCATAGGCAGTTTAAAACATGGCTTTTTGCTTCTTCAAGGCCAGCAGGCAAGTCTGCTAAGACGGAGTCTTACGTAACATAAGGTAATCATGAAGTGATAGCCCATCATCTTTGCCATATTCTATTGGTTAAAAGCAAGTTGCAGAATCTATGTGTACTCAAAGGCAGATGATTAAACAAGGGCATGACTCATTGGAGGTCATCTTAGGGTGTGTTCACCAATCCATTATTTTACTGGGTTATCTATTTTCTTCTTTTTGAATCTTGAGAGTTCTCTATATACTCCGGATACACATTCTTTATCAGATGTATGCTCTTCCTCCCAGTGTGTGGCATGTCTTCTCATGCTCTTAACAGTGTCTTTCAAAGATCAGAAGTTTTAAATTTTGAAGTCTGATATATCAATTTCTTCCTTTATAGATACTGCTTTTGTGTTAGACCTAAGAAATCTTTGCTTAACCCAGGGACAAAAGCTTTTACTTATATAGTATTTTCTTCTAGAAGTTTTATAATTTCAGGCTGTATATTTAGGTTTATGATCCATTTTTAATTAGCTAGAATCATGTTTGACTTCTCTCTTCCTCTCCCTCTCTACATGCAACCTGTCAAGAAAATGAAGCAGGTTGTATATCATGCTAAGGTATGGATTGGAGTTTACTTTTTTTCCTATAGACATCCAATTGTTGGGATATTGGTCTGTAGTTTTACTGAAATATCTTTATCTGGTTTTGGTATCAGGGTAACCCTGACCTCAGAGAATGAATTAGGAAGTGTTTCTCTTCTTCAATTTTCTGGGAGAGTTTGTATTGAATTGTTATTATTTATTCCTTAACATTTTGATAGAATATACCAGCAAAATCATCTGCATCTGGAATTTTCTTGGTGGGAAGAAATTTATTTAATACATATAAGTTTACTTAAGTTACCAACTTTTTCTTCATTGAGCTTTGATGGTTTTTTTCTTTCAAAGAACATGTCCATTTTATTTAAGTTGCTTGTTTATTGGCACGAAGTTTTTCGTAAGATTCTCTGATTATCCTTTTAATATCTGCAGAATCTGTAGTGATATAACCTCTCTAATTCCTGATATTGGTATTTCATGTTTTCTCTCCTTTTTCTTGATTAATCTGGCTAGAAATTAATCAATTTTATTGATCTCAAAAAACATCTTTTGATTTTATTAATATTTATATTGCTTTTCTGTTTTCTAGTTCATTGATTTTGGCTGTCATCTTTATTATTTCCTTTCTTGTACTTATTTTGGGTGTACTTTTCTATAAATATCAATTAGGTACCGTTGGTTGATAAAGTTGCTTAAATAGTCTATGTCCTTACTGATTTCCTTTCTGTTTGTTCTACCAATTATTGAGAAGTAAGCATTGAAATTCTTTACTAAAATTGGAGATTTGTCTATTTCTGCTTACGGTTTTGTCAGTCTGTGCTTCATGTAGTTTAAAACTTTATTATTAGGTGCATTACCTTTTTGGCATTGCTGTGTCTTTTTGATGAATTGGCCCTTTTATCATTATGAAATAACCTACTTTACCTTTGATTATATTCTTTGCTCTACAATCTACTTTGATAGTAGTATAGCCATTGCAGTGTTTTTTGATCAGTGTTAGCATAGTACTTTTTCCATGCTTTTGCTTTTAATATAATTGTGCTTTTATATTTAAAGTTTCTTGTGAGCAGTACGCAGCTGAAAATCTCTGCTTTTTGTTGGAGTATTCAGACCTTTGCACTTAATGTGACTATTAATATAGTTGCTTAAATCTATTATTTTGCTAGTTTTTTATATTTGTTTTATCTATTCTTTTTATTATTTTCTTCTTTTCTACTATCTTTTGGAGTAATTGATTATTTTTATTATTTAATTTATAAAGTGATTTTCTATAACTCTTTGTTTTGTTATTTTAGTGGTTGCTTTAGGATTTTTAATATACATATTTAGTTTATCATTCTACCTTTAAGTGGTATTATAAGTACCTCATGAATAACATCAGAGCTTTATAATAATATACTTCTATTTCTCTTCTAATGTTCTTTGTGCTGTTGTTGCTACACTGTTTACTTTTATTTATGTTATGAACCCCAGGCTACATTGTTATTATTTTTATATAATTAGCTATCTTTAAAAGATATTTAAATAATAAAAAACAATTTTACATATTTCCCTATGTATTTGCCGTATCCAGGGCTATTCATTCTTTTCTGTAGATATCTAGTTCCATCTAGTATCATTTTTTTTTCTGCTTGTAGGACTTTCTTTAACATTTCTTGTACTCTGGATCTTCTGGTGATAAATTCTCTCAGCTTTTTCATGTCTCAAAAGTTATTATTTTGCCTTTGGTTTTAAAAGATATCTTTGCTTCTGCAGAATTCTAGGTTGACAAATTTTTCTTTCAGTAACTTAAAGTTGTTGCTTCACTGCTTTCTGGCTTGCATTGTTTTTGATGAGTTATCTGCTCACATAGTATCCTGTTCTGCTGTACCCAAAATGTGGGCTTCTTTTTCTGGCTGCTTTCAAAGTTTTCTCTCTATTGTTGGTTTTGTGCAATTTGACTATTAGATTTGGAAAATTTCTAGCCATTATTTTTTCAAATATTTTTCTGTCTTCCCTTTTTTCCTCTCCTTCTTTGACTCCAATTACACATACGTGAGAGCACTTGGAGTTATCCCATAACTTAGTAATGCTGTGTTTATTTGTAAAGTTATTTGTCTCCCTGAGTTTCATTTAGAATAGATTTTATTGATATGTATTCAAAATTTGCTACCATTTTCTTCCGAAATGTCTAATGGGATTTTAATCCCACACTGTGTAATTTTATCTCACACATTGTAGTTTCCATCTATAGAATTCCAATTATCTTTCTATCATTTATGTCTCTACTTAACTCTTTGAATTACAGTCATAATAACCATTTAATGTTATTGTCTGCCAGTTCTAATATCTGTGTCATTTTTGAGTTGATCTCAATTGATTGATTTTTTTTCTCATTGTGGGTTATATTTTCCTATTTCTTTGTATGCCTGGTAATTTTTGATCAGTTGTCAGACATTGTGAATATTACTTAGGTGCTGGATATTTGTGTTTTCATATAAATATTCTTGAGCTTAGTTCTGTGGTGGAGTCAAGTGACTTGGAAACAGTTTGACTTCTTTCGGGTCTTGGGCTTAAGATTTGTTAGATGGAACCAAAGCAATGCTCAGTCTAGGCATTCCTCACTACTGAGGCAAGGCTCTGAGTTATAAGGTTTTACAGTGCGGCTGATGGGAATAGGCACTGTCTCTGGCCCTGTGTGAGCAGTGGGCACTGTTTCCTTCAATCCTTTCGGATGGTTCTTTCCCTGGTCTTGGACATTTTCCACACACATACATGCTGATCAGTACTCAGCTGACTACTCAGTAGGAGCCCTGTCCTGATATCCAAAGTTATCTCTCCTTGCATCTCTCTCTGTTTCTACTCCATTTTGGCAACTATCTGCCTTGGTTTCCCTGGACTCCAAGCTCTCTGTCTCTTCAACTAAAAATGTCTTCTGGGCTCCATCTGTTCCTCCTCCTTGTGCCTTGACCTAGAAATTCTCTCAAGTTGGGACTACTGTAGAGCTCACCTGTTTCTTGTCTCTCAGGAATCATTGTCCTTTGTTGCCTAATGTTCAGTGTCTTCAAAACCATTGCATTTTATATTTTGTAAATAGTTCGAATGTCTCAGAAAGAAGGGTCATGGTCCTTCTTACTCCATTCTGACTGGAAACCCTGGTTTCCTTTATTTTTCTTCATAATTATTGTCACCACTGATGTTATGTATATATTTTTTTTATTCCTACTAGAATGTAAGTTCCATGAGAGCAAGGATTTTTTGGTTCACTGCTGAGTCCCTTTCACCTACAATAGTGTCCGTTATATAATAGGTGCTCAATAAATATGTATTAATGAAGGAAAAGATGAGTCAATAAATGAATGCATCCCAACACCCTGCCACCCTGGTCTCCTCATGTCTTCTCCTTCTGCCAGATCTCTGCCTCTGTCCTTCTGCTCATGCTGGTTCCTGCTTGACGAAACCCTCCTCTTTCCTCTCTGAAATGTTTTTCTGTCTTTCAAGCCCCAGCTCCCATGTTTCTTCTCCCGTAATTCCTTCTCTGATTGTTGTGGCTGACTCAGATCTCTCCTTCCTCCAAGTTCTTTCAGCACTTAGAGCCAGTACCATGTAAATTACAAAGTCATTGCTCCTCTTTTTGGGTTATGCGAGCTCTTTGAGGGCCTTCCCCTGTCTTCCCCTGTTTCCCACTATGTACCTAGCATAGGGCTAGTCTCAAGAAATACATATTGGTGATGGCTGGAGTCTCTTCTCTTTGCATAACTTGTGAGTGGATAGATTCCCCTGTTCTTCCTCTATCTCCAGTGTTTCCACAATAGTCCCTCTTTCAGGGGCTGGTGTCCTGTCCCTTTTGAATTTTCAGGAACCAGAATGTCTGGAATTTAGAAGACCTTTGAGATTTAAGATCAGAGCAAAGGGTTTGGAAACAGGCTGTGGAAGACAAGGGGATGGCAGTTGGGATGAGGGACAGATATTTGATGAACATGTATTTTATGCAGTCACTTTGTCTATTATTACTTCTCATGCCACCATAGAACCATAAGCCTCATGATGCTAACATTAAGGTTGGCATGTTGAAACAGCGTTGCTTGTGAGTGAAGACCCATAACACAGAGAATGCCTGGATTCACAGAAAATCATGCTGCTAGGAACAGAATGGTGTCCCCCCAGAATTCTGGGCCCCTGGTGTGATGGTATTTGGAGACGGAGTTTTGGGGAAAGAATTAGATTTAGATGAGGTCATGTGGTTGGGGCTCATGATGGAATTAGTGACTTTATAAGAAGAGACACCACAGAGCCTGCTGCTTTTTTCTCTACCGTGTGAAGACACAGTGAGAGGGGGACTGTCTGCAAGTCAGGAAGAGAGGTTTCACCAGAAACTGACCATGTTGGCACCCTGATCTCAGACTTCCAGCCTCCAGAAATGTGAGAAAATAAATTTTTGTTGCTTTAGCCACCCAGTCTTTGACATTTTGTTATAGCAGCAGCTTGAGTGGACTACGATATATGCCAATCAATCAGTGTGTTGTGATTTAGGAGGATTGGCATGAGGGAGTCATATCCCGGGAGAGAAGATGCATGTGACTTCTCTTGCTCAACCTTGATGAAGAAACAGATAGTGCTGATACCTGTGAGAGTCACCCCAGTCTATTGTCTTGTTGCTCCATCTCCTTTCTTGGTTGAACCATGGGAGGGCCAACCTGCATCGTGGCTCTTCCCAGCTCCCTTGCTGTAGCATGGGAGCCATGGTCACCCTGATTGGGCTGTTAAAAATGGATTGGATGCCCCCAGCTTTGCTCCTGGCAGCTCTTAGGGGACAGTGTCCTCCTTTTACTAGATTATGGACACAGTGCTTTGTGCTCTCACTGCATGAGGTTATCTCTGACAGTGAATGACAAGGTTCTTTGGCTTAATTCACTAGTGGAGGACAGAGTCCCTGACAGGTAGCTCAATCCACTTTCAGCTCTGAATCCACCTAATCATACTTCAAATCCCCATCAGGTCTCTATGAAGTTCCCCACTGAAGTAGCTCCCTCAGCTTGCGGTCTCCCCACCACTCAACCGGTGTGATCACCCTCCCCTTTGCTGCCATCAAACACAACCACATTTCCCCTTTTCTGCTCATTCCTGATGGAGGATGGTCTCACTACCACCCCTCAGCCTTCTGTGCAGAGTATGTGATTCTTCTCTTCCTGGTAAGAGCCAGTATGCGTTTTCCTCTGTTCATCTCCACAGTTAATGCTTCCAGGGCTATCTCAATTCCTTGAAGAACCTCCCCTTTGGCTGGGATGTTCTTGCCAAATAGGAGGGCTGTTGCTTCATAGAAAGAAGATACCTTGGTAGGTGCCCAGCCAACCAGCCTAAGTGATGTCAGCATTGTTTAGACCTGGTACACATCCTGGAATGAGCTCTACAATGGTTACAATTTCCTTCTGGGAATGTGGCCATTTGGGACCCTAAAGATAACAGCTTGGATGTTTTTCCTGTTTGAAGTTGTCTTTTTGTTTGTTTGTTTTTTAAATAAACCGTTTCCTTTTGAAAGGAATCTGGATTTTACAAATTCACCTGCTCATATTTATGGTTTCAGGTCTTTTATCTCTCCAGCCATCAGGGAAAAAATAACTTTGGCAGCAGTAAAAGTAGACTGGCCACTCTTATCTCTGTCAGACTTGGGGGAAACGTTGTCAGATTGCCTGGCTCACATGACAGGGATATTTTTCTTCTAGTCTTGATCCTGTTCCCTGGCAAGTTGGATGTGATTTGTCTTAACACTCAGCTTCCCCTGCCAGGACATGCACAGCATGTTTGGACACATGGTCTTTTAAAAATGTTATTTTGAACGTTATTCTTATTCATCTTGGGGCTGATTGTTTTGGGGGTCTGGAGCATTAGATTTGGCTGCTAGTCTGCTTGAGCCTCACTGGGGTCCTCTGGGGGATGGGCGACTCACTTCTCTGTGGGATGAATCCCCCAGAGACAGTTGGATCCATTGAAAGAAAAATTTCCTAACAAACCCAGTTATGCATAGAACCTGTGGTGTTGTATGGTTGTGGAATACATCTGGGGGAAATTTTACCTATACCTCTTCTCGACTGTGCTACCTCTAGCATGATTGACTCTTGTTGTCAGCCCATCTTGAGTTTACAGCACCCAAAGGGTATAAGATCTGAATCAGGTAGAAAGAGAGTGTGCCTCTCTCTCTCGCTCTTTTTCTTTTTTCTGAGACCGAGTTTCACTCTTGTTGCCCAGGCTGGAGTGCAGTGGTGCGATCTTGGCTCACTGCAACCTCCACCTCCTGGGTTCAAGCAATTCTCCTGCCTCAGCCTCCCGAGGAGCTGGGATTACAGGTATGCGCCACCATGCCTGGCTAATTTTGTATTTTTAGTAGAGACGGGGTTTCTCTATGTTGGTCAGGCTGGTCTCGAACTCCCAACATCAGGTGATCCACCCACCTCAACCTCCTAAAGTGCTGGGATTACAGGCGTGAACCACCGCGCCCAGCCCGGGAATATGCCTCTCTTGTGTAAGCCTTGGGCATGGCTATCCTAGAACCTACAGGTCCACAACTTTGACCTGGAAAGTTTATGAGGTTGGGAAGTGTAGGACAGGCAGAAGAGCTTTCTGACGTTCTGGGATTTCAACATATTTCATCTCTGAGCCCTTAAGGTAGATGTCTCACTTCCTAGCAGAATGTAGAAAATGTAAAGTTGGGTTTAGGTACCAAGTGTTTCAGTAAAAATGAGCTTTATCCTCCCTAGTTTGAAAAGAACTTTTTAAAGGGGTGGAAAAATGGTGTCTGAATTGGTGAAGAACTTTGCAAACAAAAAATCAGAAGCCTCCAACGAGGACCTTATCAAATTTAAAGTCAGTTATAAATTTTACATTGGTTGGAAAACATTAAGTTGTAGTAAAATTTAGTGAGATGACCTTAATGTGGTTGATAGTTCTGGCAATAAAAACAGATTTTAGGACAATTACCTGTGGCACAAACTTGGGGAGTAAGACTCTGGGGCACTGATTCCAGTTGAGAGTTGGAGGCTTAAAAGCATCTGTCCCAATTTTTGCAGAGACTAGTTTGCTCTTGGTCCAGCCCCTCACGTTGTATAGTTAATTTAAAACCTGTTGCTGAATACAACACCAGAGAAAGATCATTTGTACCCAGAGCTGTTAATACACTTTCTTCTTTTTGTTTTTTTAGACAGAATCTCACTCTGTCGCCCAGGCTGGAGTGCAGTGGCGTGATCTCAGCTCACTGCAACCTCCGCCTCCCAGGCTCAAGTGATTTTCATGCCTCAGCCTCCTGAGTATGTAGGATTATAGGCATACACCACCACGCCTGACTAATTTTTGTATTTTTTAGTAGAGACCGGGTTTCGCCATGCTGGCCAGGCTGGTCTTGAACTCCTAGCCTCAAGCAATCCCCCCACCTCGGCCTCCCAAAGTGCTGGGATTACAGACATGAGCCACTGTGCCTGGCCAAATAAACTTTCTGAAAGATGGGTTCCGAGCCATAATATCTTGCTCACTTTTATTGAATCTATGATTGTATTTTATCCCATCACACACACAAAAGACATCTCTTTACTTCTCCTAAAAGATTTATCAATTTTTGGATATTTTATAGATAATGTATACTTGATGAATGAGCATGAAGCCTGGGGTTTCCAGGCCAGTGTTTTATGTGAGAAGCAGACAGGCTCTTTGATAGGTCTTTCAACCACAGACCATGTTTTTAACCAATTATCACCTGGTGGTGAAGTCCACCAGGAGCAATATCCGATCATGTGTGGTTTTTGTTGACTCTTCCCAAGCCTTCATATTGATTAAGAACGGATACATGAGCTCATCAAAGACCCGCAGTTCTTGATGCTTCTACATACTTGATACTATTATTGTATAATCACAGTCAGGGGCAGTAGATGGAGCAGTAAAATCAGGGAAGTGTTTTGAACCCCACCATTTCAATTTGTTTCTTAATGATTTGATATCCCCGTGGATGAGCGGGGCATGAGCCCACTGCTATGATGAATGGAAAGACACACATCATTTTTATTCAGATCACACTTTCCACTGCGTTGAACTTGGAGTGGACTGGAGAGACAAGAGGTCTGATAACTACTAGTAAACTGCTGGAAGGAGCCCTTCAGAGCAACAATCACGAAAGCAACATTACTAATTTTGGTAGATTTTTCTAGTACTTCAACTGCTTAATAAGCAAAAATAGTGTGTGGTTAGGAGCATGAACTTTGCTTCCAACTGCTTGGGTTCAAGTCTAGGTTTTGCCACTTGTTAGCTGTGTGGCCCTGTGGCTCATTTTCTTCTTCTGTACACTGTGAATAGTAATAGGTCCCACCTCCTTGGTGAGCTTATGTGACTTATTGTAGGTAGGGTCCTGAGAATAGCTTGGCATATGTAAGTGTTTGCTTTGAAAGCCTATACATTTTGCTCTTGTGCACATCAACTTAAAAAATTCCAAGCTAAGTCAGAATGGCGATTATTAAAAAGTCGAGAAACGACAGATGCTGGCGAGGCTGTGAAGAAATAAAAACACTTTTATACTGTTGGTGGGAATGTAAATTAGTTCAACCATTGTGGAAGACAGTGTGGTGATTCCTCAAAGATCTAGGACCAGAAATTCCATTTGATCCAGCAATCCCATTACTGGGCATATACACAAAGGAATACAAGTCGTTTTATTATAAAGATACAAGCATGCCTGTGTTCATTGCAGCACTATTCTCGATAGCAAAGACGTAGAATCAACCCAAATGCCCATCAATGATAGAATGGATAAAGAAAATGTGGTAGAAATATGCCATGGAATACTATGCAGCCATAAAAAAGAATGAGATCATGTCCTTTGTAGGGACATGGATGGAGCTGGAAGCCATTATCCTCAGCAAACTAACACAGGAACAGAAAATTAAACACTGCATGTTCTCACTTATAAGTGGGAGCTGAACAATGATAACACATGGACACGGAGGGGAACAACACACACTGGGGCCTGGTGGAGGAGGGTGAGAGGAAGGAGACCATCAGGAAAAATAGCTAATGCATGCTGGGCTTAATACTTAGGTGATGGGTTGATAGGTGCAGTCAACCACCATGGCACATGTTTACCTATGTAACCTACCTGTCCTGCACATGTATAACAGAACTTAAAATTAAATGAAATTGAAAAAAAATTCCAGACCGAAATCCTTATGGCCATTCTCTATGGTGTAGCCTTGCTCACCCGTTTATCTACATACTGGAATTGACCCAAGACTCCTTTACAAAGGAGAATCTTGGCCTTGCCTTTTGGATGGCACTGTCAATTGGAGGAGGGATGGCTTCCTTCAGGCTTTCTCCTTGAGGGCTGCTCAGCTCAGCTCCAATAAGAGGACTTCACATTTACTCTTGGCTCTGTTGCTGGTTGAGATGCATGGGTTTGATGGGCAGCCCAGGTTTGTGGCACCACAGGTGCTTCTGAGGAGTAAACAATACTGAACTCATTGTTGAAAATTAAGTTAGCAAAGAAAAAAGAACTCAGCTAAGAGAAATGATACCTTAAAGAATTTTTCAAGTGACAATCTGGAGTCTAAAGTTTACATAGTCTAAAATGTGTCCCAGATCAAGTTGTACCACTGGAGTCGGGCACTGAGCTCTCATCACTCTGCCCTTCCCCTGACCTCTCCCCTGAATTCAGCAGCTTTTACTGAATGAGGCTTTGATGGGATGCTCCCAGCCCACAATGGAGTGGTTGAAAAGAAAATGGGGTGTTTACTTCAACGATGTTGCTCATTACATCATGTAGGGGCCTCCTTAAGAGGTGTCTAAGAAGGCATTTTCCCCTCTGCTCTCAGGGCCAAGTGCACCTCTGTCCTGATCACCTGGTGTTTCTCTTAGGAACCCTGTGAGTTGTATAAAAGACCAGCCTTTCCTTTTCACACTGGTTTCTATGATGCTTGGAGTCACGTGCATGGGCAACTCCTAGATCTTTGTCATCCTCACTTTTTCCAGCCTCGATTCCAGCTTTTGATTATCCCTACCTTAATTCCCTTTCTTCTCTTGCTATCAGTTTTAACCTTTAGCTTGTTTCTCTAATGTAATCTCATCAACCTCCTTAAAGCCTGTCTACAGCAAGGTGAGGACCTTGCTGTATTTATTACATGAGTAAATAAATAACTCAAGGGAGTGGGTGTTGTCATCCCCACTTTAAAGGTGAGGAAATTGAGGCCCTGAAGGGCAAATAAGTTTGCCCAGTGTCATGCAGTACTAAGTAGATGGTCTAGGTCAAGCTCAGGCCTGGCTGACTGTGCAGCCTGGTCTCTTCTCACCCCCTCCTCAAGCTCAGAAACATAGGTAGAAATTGCTGTATTAGGGGATTTGAGGAGCCACTGATGCAAGTGGCCAGTGGGTGAAACTGATGAGAAGTGAAAGCTACACTTCCATTTTACATTGAGGAAGGACACATTTATGGAACATTTGGTCATCAGGGTACAAGTAATCTGTAGGGTGAATCTCAATTGCATTGTAACCTTGATTAACTGAGACTGGTTAACTTGGGTAATTGAATTGTCAAGTTAACTAAGAGTCAACTCAATATACTGTGCTTTTCCACCCTGACCATTGAAGTTTTCTGACGATTTTCTGCTTCCATTACTATAATGTAATGTACATGTTAGGAACATAATTATAATTCTATACTCCCTTCAACATGTGGTGCATTTCCAAGGACATAGTAGGTCCCCAGTCCTGACTCTTGATTCTGTTGAATAACAGTTTTCTTGGGCCTTGGGGTCAGCCTCATAGCTATCAGTTCTCTCTGAGCAAGATAGCGACTGGATACACAGGCTGGGCAGGACACTGACCCACTGCAAGCATGCCTGCATTCCTCCATGCACCCGTTCAACTGCCTACCTAGTCCACTGACCTGAAATGACAGTCAGATACAAGTGTATTGTGCTGTGATTTGCTTGTTTCACTTAAAATAGAAGCTCTACAATTTTATTTTAGTTACTTGAGAGTTTCAGTTGGCAGGGTTCTGGTTAATCAAGATTTTGTTTGCCTGTATGGGTTTCTCATTATCCATAACCATATATTGAACATCTTTTGTACACAGAAAAATGTGCTGGGCTAGGAGAATACAAAGATGTATGAAGATGAGGCAAGTTTCTATTTCATGGTGAGGAACAGACAAACTGGCTGTGGCTGGCTTCTATGTTTAAGGTGATATGAAACCCCCTCCATGGTATTTCAGAAAGAGCACAGGCTCTGGCCTTGGATTCACCAGTGACTTCTGTAGGACTCAGGAGAAGTTTCTTAACCTATCTGAACCTCAGCTAGTTTCTTAACCTATCTGAACCTTGTCTGTAAACTATGGATACAAATATCTATTCAGAGATTTGTTAAAAAGATGAGATGTAACATATGTAAAACCCTAGCCCATAATAGCTGCTCAGTAAATGATAGCTGGTAATATTGTCCTTCTGAGCAGTCTTTGCCTAGAAAAGCAGGGAAAACATTTCTTCCCATTCCCTTTTAGAACTGTTTCAAGAATAGGTGGCATAATTTCTGTAAGGTCCCCTTCGATTTCAGGTCAAAGGGCCAAGGCCACTGTAAGCCACAATCTATGGATGCTCTTGTCTATAAATATCCCCAGCCTGTGTAAATACACAATTGAATGCAAGCGTCTGAATCATAGTGAAGATATGCATGCCCTGCCGTCAGGCATTGTACAGCAGCCAGCGTCTGTCTCGCACATTCATCAAGCCGCACAGCCGCCCAACAGAAAGAACATTGTGCACTGTGCTTGTTCTGCACACTTTATGCAGAGAGAGAGCAAATCAATAGAAGAAAATGTGGATTTGTTCTGCCAAGGAGAGGGGTGGGGGCTGCAGGGTTGGTAAGGAAAAGGGAAATGAAAAGGGGGGAAGGATATTAAGGACAAGGGAAGAATAGAGTCTTAGTCTATTTGGGGTCTATAACCAAATACCATAGACTGGGTGGCTTCTAAACAACAGATATTTATTTTTCACAGTTCTGGGGGCTGGAAAGTCCAAGATCAAGTCGCCAGCAGATTTGGTGTGTGGCGAGGGCCACTTCCTGGTTCATAGATGGCGCCTTCTTGCTGAGTCTTCACGGTGGAATAGGAGAGGGATCTCTCTGGGGTCTCTTTTATAATAGCACTAGTCCCATTCATGAAGGCTCCAACTCATGACCTCAACAGCCCCCAAAGCTTTCACCCCTAATATCACCTTGGGCTTTAGGATTTCAGTATAAGGAAATTTGGGGTGGGGGGAATAATTATTTGGCTCCACCCTCATGACCTCAACACCCCCCAAAGATCTTACCCCTAATGTCACCTTGAGGGTTAGGATTTCAGCATATGACTTTGGAGTGGGGGGCATAATTATTTAGTCTATTGCAGATAATAAGAGAAGTGAAGGCTGAGGGCAGACACAAAGTAATCACCTCTCTGGTGTTTTGTAACTCCTTAAGTTCAGAGAGGTTCTTTGCACATCACAGATTGCAGTGACACCCATGGGGCTGGAATAGGGTGTGGAGGACTTTTCTTGCTCCGCCACGTTGGTTTTCCCTACCAGGGACAGCCTGACCCTTCCTCTTATCTTTCACATCCCTCTCCCTCTCTCCTTTTCTTCCCTCTTTCTCTTATTTCTTAAGTTTCTCCCCTCCCCTTCTTTCTAGCCCTGCTCCCCAGCACCCCTCTTGGTTGTTCTCCTTTTCCAAACCCTAGGGTTGGTGATACCAGTGTCTCCCTCACTAAATGAGCTTTCCTACTGCCCCCATCTTCTAACCAAGTCGTTAACATCTAGTAGGTCCATGGACACAGGCTCAGCTTGTTGTCAACATCCAAGCCCCGTGCAGGATGATCCTGAAGGGAGAGGTGGACATGGACATTCAGGGAGACAATGACATCCAGAATGGCTGTCAGAGTGGCTGACTGCTAAGAGCAGCCTGGGATGGTGCAGGGTGAGGGAGGGCAGGATGTGGCTGGAGAAGGAGCTGACCTCCTCCAAGGCCCAGTGGATGCTGGGGAGTGGCCTGAGCCCATATAGTACACAAGCATGGCCTGCCCAGGTCAAAGCCAACAGGGAGGAAACATGGCCAAGAGGAAAGATCCCTGGATCAGGATGTGGGAAGGCCCAATGTTCTCCCGGAATGGCTTTGAGACTCAACATTTCCAACTTTGAAATGGGTACAATGACCCTGGCTCTGCATGCGTATCTTCACCCTGATTCAATATTGAGTGCTAATGACACTCAAATGAGGTCAAGTGAGGTAAAGGGCTTCACATCTCTCTCTCTCACCAAGAGGTGTGGCATGTCGGTTCACAAGAACACTGTAATGAAGTCACAGACTGGGGGCCTTAAACAACAGAAACTTATTTACTCACAGTTGTGAGGGCTGGAAGTCCAAGATCAAGGTGCTGGCAGGGTCGGTTCCTTCTGAGGCCTCTCTCCTTGTCTGGCAGATGTCTCCTGTTGCTGTGTCCTCATGTGGTCTGCCCTCTGTGTGTGTCGTCCTCATTGCCTCCTTTTGAGGACACCAGTCACATTGGATCACGGCCCAGCCTAGTGACCTCATTTTACCTTAATTACCTCTTTAGAGGGCTGATCTCCAAATCTAGTCACATTCTGAGGTACAGGGGATTAGGGCTTCAACGCAGGAATTTGGGAGGGATTCAGTTCAGCCCATAGCACATGGCAACTTGTGTTTGTATTCTCATCAGTCCTCCCTGGATTTAGGGTGTGTCCAAGTGATGAGAGCGTTTTCATCCCTGGCAGATGGGAGGATGGAGAGCAGGTTCCAGAGGGTTTTGGGGTCTGGGCCAGCCCTTAGGGGATGGGAATGGGTAGGAACTGAGTGTCTTCTGCTAAGCCTCCTCCCATTAGTGGCCCATCTTCCTGCCAGGCCTCCCCTGCAATGGGATGTCCATGTGTCCATGGGGCTTCTACTGTGGCTCAGAATGGATGGCTCAGGCCCAGCTCTGTCCACACGTCCCCTGAGGCCTACTCAGAGGTAATAGAACTGGCTGAGCTGTTACCAATCATGGCCCCAGCCTCCGTCTCCTCCACCTGTGTGCCGAGAGGAGGACCTGGCAGTTGTGGCTCATTGGTCTGCAGGGAGCTCTGTCTTCCTTTTTTGTCTGAGTAGGAGAGAATCCTCTTCTAGAGGCAGTGATGGGGGATAAGACAGCACTCCTAGAAACTGGGTCTGTACATGCTGTCTCCCCCATTGGATTCCTGTGGAGCTGGGGCGCTGCCAGGCTCACCCTGGGGGACCATTGGAACGGGGTGTGAGGCAGCTGGTGCATGTTGCGGGAGTTAGAGGTGAAAAAGAGCCTGGACCCTGATGCCTGCTTCTTCCTTGGAGTCTCTGGTAGAGGGGGATTGGCTGCAGCAGCCTTGGGTGGCAGCTGGGAGAGTCTACATAGTGGGACAGAGTTCTTCCGGACGGTGGGTGTGGTGGCTGCTCTCCCGAGGTCCCGGGGTTCAGGCGAAGGACCCTGGAGGGTAGAGCAGGAGGCAGGAGCTTAAGGAGGGGAGTCCTGGCAGGGGAAGGGTTGAGGACATGGACCTCAGGAGGGTGGGAGGGAGACTCCCTTGCCCTCCCTGTCATCACCAATGGAGGGCCAGTCCAGTCTGGACACCACCCGTGGCACAACAAGCAAGATTGTCAAGAAAGTGATTCCAGGAACTCTCTGGGTGCCGGGTGTCTGGCTTCCCCAGTCAGTTCTGCAAACAGTAGGCACCCCTCAACCTACTTGGCACCAGAGCAATCTCTTTTACCACCAACCACGTTGCTCCACATCTGCTCAATTCAAAGAGAGAGCAGACTGGGAGGACTGTGTCCACTGCAATGGGACACACTTCCAGGTCCAGGCTGGGCATCTCGGTGGGGCGATGGGAAGGAGGTCTGTACCTTCCTTCCCTTCTCTGGTCAACTTCGACTTGCTAAGTTTTCCCTTTCTCCAAAAAAGCTGTTTCCTTACTTCATGCCACGTGATGTTATACAATTGTCCCTAACCTCAGCACACCTGGTCATGACCCAGAAAGGACCTAACTGGCGTGAAATGCCCTGAAATAAACTATGCACTCAGACAAAGGTGGCCCACAGTCCACGGAGCCAGGCTGAGGCAGCGAGAGAGACCCAGAAGAACCCCTTCTTAGCTCAGGCTGCCCTAACAAGATAACACAGACTGCGTGGCTTAAAAAACAGGCATTTATTTTCTCATGGTTCTGGAGGCTGGAAGTCTAAGATCAAGGTGCTGGCAGGGTTGGTTTTTGGTGAGGCCTCCCTTCCTGGCTTGCAGACAGCTGCCTTCTGAGTACGTCCTCACCTGGTTTTTCCTGTGTTCAGAGAGAGAGGGAGAGAAAGAGAGAGATCTCTGTTGTCTCTTTTTCTCCTTAAAAGAACATCAGTCCCATAGGATGAGGGCTCCATCCTTATGACCATATTTAACTTTAATCCACCACATTACAGGCCCTATCTCTAAATACAGTCACATTGGGGGTTAGGGTTTCAACAAACAAATTTTGGTAGGGATTCAGTTTGGTTCATAACAACCTCCCTGCCCTTGGAAGGCAGCCAGTTAGAAAGACGCTGCCTCTCATTCTGCCTCCCCACCCCAACACAGGAGAAGAGGGAGAGGGAATCTTCAGATGGTCCTCACCTCTCTATCCAGGACTCCAGGGAGAGGAAAAGGAAGGACAGCCACAGCCTCTGGCTCCTTCAGGTCCTGGGCTGAAAGCTGTCCAGGGCTGGGGAGGGAAGGAGCTTTAAAATGGACCCAGATTGAAGCTTAAGATGAACTGAGGTTTTAATAATCATAATTGACCAGAAAGTTATAAAATCTGTCTAAGGTGCCATTAAGAGATCTGCTATGCACCAAGGGAGACTGGATTTAGCACCGTGTGGAGGTCAGATTGCTAATAAGCCCGTTCTATCACTGTGAGAGACTAAGTCCTTCACTATCAGAAAAACTTTCCATCACCAGTGGACTCTGCTGGACCGTCCACCCCTTAGGTGGTGTTGCTGACATGGGCTCAGAGGGCTGGGCTCCTGGGGCACAGAGCCCGGAGGGGCTTGCCAGAGAAGAGACTCTGAGCTGGGGACATTGGAAGGAATTAACAGTCAGAGGGTACCAGCCCAGTCCATGTTGAGGGAGACGAAGGGGAAAGGTGCTTCTAGCACAAAGGCCTGGAGGCAGGATGGGCTTTGGTGTGTTCCAGAAACTGTGGTTTCACCTAGGGCAATGATTTCCTGGCTTTGGAGTTCACAGACCGTAAGAAACAATCAAAGTTGGAAATCAATACAGGGTTACAAGCTTTGTGTTTTGCCAAGAAAGGACACAAAGAAAAAAAAAAACCCTTGCTATCTATTATTACCACCCTTCCCAAAAAGAACGAATACTTTAACACCTCCCTCCACCCCAAATCAAAGAAGAGAGAAACAACATAATCTCAGAATGACATATATAGTCCTTTAAATTGAATAAATGTAGCTTTGTGAAAAAGTCACTGCATTGACTTTTTTTGGGGAACTAATTTTGCTGAGGCTGATGTAAACCTCACTAATCTGAGCTGAAGCTTGGCTGATAACACGTGTGAGTGTGCATGTGTCTGTGTGTGTGTTTTGAGTGTATGAATGAGTGTGTCCGTAGGTTTGTGTGAGTGGTGGGGGTGGAAGAGAGGGACATTACCCATAGGACCTTCACCTGCTGGAAGCCCTTCCCCAGTTCCTAGCGATGTTCCTCCCTCTGTCCCTTCTCTGCCATCACCCTCGTATGCTTTCCCTCCCTTCTTCTCCCACTCCCATTGCCATCAGGGAGCTGACACCCCAGGCCCATCCCCTAGTCAGAGGAGAAGCCAGTCAGCAACCCCGCCAGACTTCTCACTTCCTGCCAAGAAGAATTGTCCCTCCGTAAAGGAGCTTTGCATCCTTGTGACACACAGTCACTCCAGGGGAGCAAAATTGGGCCAAGTCCTTATGCAGCAAAGGACTCAGCTCCCTCAGGGCCTGGCACTGCTTAAGCCTCTCACATGGTTTATGACCTTGAGTCAGCGAGGCTGTCCTTCAGCCCTGTCAGCTGGGACAAAGCCACAGGTGCCCCCGAGACTTCTTGGAGTGGCCCTTTAGCGCTCCATCCTTGTCCCGTGGGGAACAGTTGCCTGACCTTGATCCTAACTCCTGGATTGGGCTTGAGGTTCTCCTCTGCTCGTCCCAAACCAACTCTTGACCCCTCCATATCACCCCTTCCCTAGGGGAATACCTTGCCCCAATCAGGCTGATTGGTACTTAATCCCTCTAAAAGTTTACATCATCTCTTGCCTTTATGTCTTTGTTCTTTATAATTCTCTTCTTCTGAGGAGACTTCCCTTCAAAACCAAAGCCCAACTTCAAAGTTCAGCTAAAAGGCCACCTCCTCCAGGAGGCTTCCTGTACTACTTCAATGAACACTAACTTTGCCCACTAAGATGAAGGGAAGGTAGGAACTGTGTTACAACCTCTGAAAAAAACCTCCTCCATCTTTCAAAACATGTGCTTCCTGCCCTGGGCCTCTGACTTGCCTCTCAGCTCAGTTTCCTTGTTTGAGATTTAAAAATTCAGGCGAATCTTCTCTCCTGGCCCCCAGTGCTGATTCTTCCCAATCATTTTTTGAAGCCATACTCTTGTTTTTACTGTTTTTAAGTTTGCCTTTTCATGAAGCCATTTTTTAACGCTTATTATTTCTCATTGATTTTACTTTCTCGTTTAGCATTTGCTATAAAAGAGGAAACAGGAAGTGGCTGTGTGAGACCTGGCCTTGCCAGGTCGGGGAGACGGGAGCTGGGCTGGAGTGGGGGGATCCAGATTCCATCACATTTGCACCCTTCAGCCACCCACAACTTGGGAATCCATCCCACCTCTCTATGCCTCAGTTTTTCTCATGCGTAGAGATTTAAAAACCCTGAGTACACTGAGTTGTTGTGGGTATTAAATTAGAGAATGCTTGTATGGTATGCAGCACAGTGCATGGCCCATGCTAGGTGCTCACAAAACGAAATTTCTCCTTCTCATTTCTATTTCCCAAGCAGAGTCCTGAGCTGATCTTTCCTGAAGCTTCTGTGTGAGCCGGGGCAGCCACGAACCTGTGAGGTGCCTTCCTGAGAATCAGAGAAGGACGCTCCCTCTGGGTGGAGCAGGACACCACATGGGGGCAAATGGAGCTTTGCAGAGGGAGGGAGTCCCAGGCCCGTTCCCCACCCTGGTTGGGCAGCGGCCTCATAGGTGAGGGAGGAAGGCAGCCAACCTCGTGTTAAACATCCCCAGTTCTTGTGGTGGCAATGATTGGTAGGTGAGCCACAAGGCTGGCTTCAAAGGAGAACTTTGGCAAAGGGGCTTATGTTCAGAATCCTCCAGAGGGAGAGAGGCACTGTTCTCTTTTCATGCATATTCCACCATCCTCACTGTGAATGCAGGCTCCTTGAGAAGAGGGACTTCCGCTTTGTTCTCTTTATATTTTCTCTGCTGGGCGTGGTGGCTCACACCTGTAATCGTGGCACTTTGGGAGGCCGAGGTGGGAGGATCACTTGAGGGCAGAAGTTTGAGTCCAGCCTGAGCAACACAGTGAGACCCCGTCTCTACCAAAAGTAAAAAAAATTAGCCTGCCACGGTGGCACAGATACTTGGGAGGCTGAGGAGGGAGGATCTCTTGAGCCCAGGAGGTCAAGGTTGCAGTGAGCTGTGTTCATACCACTGCATTCTAGCCTGGGCAACAGAGTGAGACTGCATTCATTATGCCTGTGGCTGGGCATTTTCCTCTGCTTGAATAGTCCTCACCTAGCTCCTTGCCATTTGGCTGATTCTGTCTCATCTTTTGGGACTTATTTCATATGTCATTTCCTCCAGGCAGCCCTCCTTGCTCCACAGGCTGGATTAGGGGCAGGGAATCTCCTCAGAAGATTCTGATTCAGTGGGTCTGCAATGAAGCCCAAGATTTGCCTTTGCTCCCAGATGATGCTGATGCTGCTGGTCCGTGGACCACAATTCAAATAGCAAAGCAGTCTGGGCCATGGGGTCTGGTTCAGTGGAAAACATTGAGTATAGGACCTCTTAACCTTTTGAGGGTCAAGAACTCCTTTGAGAAGCAGATGAATGTTTTTGGACACTTCCCCACAAAATGCACACATACTAATACTTTTCTATATTGTTCCAGAGATTTTATTGCCTCCCGAAGCTCATCTATGCACACCCAGGTTGGAAATCCATCCCCCTGGGCCACCACGTAATGCAATGAACAAATACACGGGCCCGTGTGTTCAGAAACCAGCTTTGTCACTTAGCTGGCTGCTCTCTCTGGGGTTTCGTTTCCTCATTCGAAAAGTTGTTTAAACTTTTAGAAAAGGATGATACTTACAGTAACTTTCTCATAGGGTTATTGGGAGGATTAAAGATGATAATGCAAGAAAAGTGCTTAGCACAGGGTCTGATAAGCTCTTGATAAATATTAGTTATTCTGTTTCTTATTATTATCATGAATAATTGATGTGCATGGAGAGGAGCTGCAGCTAGAGGGACTGAGCACTACGGGGCAGGAGCACTAGCTGTGTGCTCACCTTGCACCTGGCCCTGCCATGATGTTTTCACATGCTCGGTGTCTTCCACCCCTCAGAATGAGCTGGGCATACAGCCAGCTTGCCCTGTTGTTCAATGAGGACATGGAGCTTCAACAGATTAGGTCCTACGCCCAGAGTCGCTCCGCTTCTAAGCAGCAGAGAGAGTTTTGCAGCCAGACTGCTGTGTTCCGACTCTGGGTTTTTCCCTCTATTTCCCTAGATGAAAATAAACAAATAATTGGATGCATGGGGAGGTCTTTTTTCCCCTTTAAAAATATTTAAATGATTTTCCCACCTTTCAATAAAATGATATTAACTTTAATTTCATCATTTTCGGCAATGCTACAAAGCTGCCTGTGAACTTTTCTCAGCACATTAGTTGCTTCGGCGGTTAATTCTTAGCCCTTAATTTTGGTGAGGCTTTCTGTAAAGTGACGGCTCCAAAGAGCCATTTACCTGTTTATTCATACTTTCCACCAAAGACCTATTTTTCTTTGCAACCAACCCAACATTAAGTATGCAGCCAGTTTTATTTATCTATTTTTACAAAGAAACCCTGACCTGTAAAGACCTCTTTCTTTTCATCCCGGCTTCAAAACAATTCATTCATGCATTTTAGAAGTTATGCAAATGAGCTTCCCTTGATCTTAGAGGATTTCTCTGGAATTGATTTTGGGATTCTATATTAATTACCACTACCCAGGCACAGGGGCTGCCACATAATGCATATATTTAGCAAGAATGACAAGGCTGATAATTATGCACGAGGTGCCTCAGAAAAAGGATTGTGTACTTTGATGTTTAATTTCAGCAAACTTCTTTAGTTTGTTAAAGTTAATCAAAAGCAATCAAAATACACTGGTGTAAATTACAGCAAATTAATTGCAAACCAGTGGAAAACATCTTGTCTTTCAAATTGGAATGTTGAACTGGAACTTCTGATTGAATCACTCAGATCTAGGAAGCGGTAAGTTTTTGAATGTGGAAGGGTAGTTTAGAGCTTGAGTTAGGATCAGGGTGGGAAATGCGCATGATTCCATAAGGAATTATGCTTGTAGGGAAGACTGAAGGCCTAAGAATAACCTTCATGTTTGGCTTTAAGGGAAACTCACTCTGTGGACTTGGGAAGGTCACTTAAACTTAGATTCTTGGGGCTTCAGTGTCCTGATCTGTTCAGCAACATAGCTCTTGCCTTGCTACTTTGATTAGTAAAGAGACAGCTTACCTTTATCATCTTTATTGAATGTACTCTCAGCCAGGTTCTGTGTGCACTCCTGTTGTCTACCTTACACCTGATGAGGGCGCTAGGAGGTTGGTGCTCCCGTTTCACAGATGCAGACTCAGCTCCAAGACACGTTGAGCCCAGGCACTCTCACTCCAGAAGACTACTCTAGGGATATTGTGTTTAATTTCAGAAGACTTTGATTTGACAACCTAATCAGAGGCAATCAAAATATGCTTATGAAACATATAGAAAATTAATTTCAAGCCAATGCAAAGGATTACATTTCCCAACCACAGAGAATCAAGTGAGAAGATGGATGTGAAAATATTATGTGAAATGTTGACTGCTATGCAAATGAACGGTAGTAAAACTAAGGCAGCAAATCTAGGAGACGATGCGGAGGCCAGTTTTGCAGAAAGACAATTCCTCCAGCTCATGACTCATCACTGGAGGCTAAGTTTTATTTCATGAGATTTGTACTTCAGTAGGGCCCACTGAGTCATTCAAACATTGATTCATTGAATGCATTTTTTTATCTACCAAGATCAAGGTATGAGAAAAGCAACACAGGGTTTAACAAGATGTCATCTTGACCTCTGGGAGCCCATGATGTAGTGACAAAGACATATAAATTGTTCATGATAATCCAAGGAGCCACTGAATAAGAACAAAAAGTAGCATTTTCTTGACACTGTTTTAAGGATGGGAAGTATGTTACCAGTGCATCCCCAGGACTTGACACAGAGCCCGGCTACAGAAAGTACTTCATACATTTGGTTGAATGAATGCATTTTAAAGGAGTCTTGGATATCAGGGTGAGCATCTAAGTGAAAAGTTTCCCTCCATTCACAACGCTTCTGACACCAAATATGTGGGGTGTATCCTACTAATAACTAATTCTCCAACTCTCTAGACACTACCTGGGTGTCCAATGAGTCAACTCAATTCTGACATTTACTACCCAGACTTAGTGCAGTCCTCACAGGGTAAGGGATCAATCTGAGATGGAGCAGGGACTCCTTTTGGGGGCCGGCCAGGCCTCTCAAACATAGAAATAAAGGAACCTCTTGAGTTTCTTCAAGAAAAATTTCAGACACCTTACTATCCTTAAAAAGTAAGTGAGCAACTTGATAAGAAAGAAGATATTAATGGCTTAAAACAATAGCCAAAAAAGCTAGAGCCACAAGATATTTTGTCTCCTATAAAAACAAAAGGTAACATCCTGACATAGGTCCCTGTGTTTAAAAAACCTGGACTCCACCGGGCAGGGCGCAGTGGCTCAAGCCTGCAATCCCAGAATTTTGGGAGGCTGAGGTGGGTAGATCACTTGAGGTCAGGAGTTTGAGACTAGTCTGGCTAACGTAGTGAAATCCCACCTCTGCTAAAAATACAAAACTTAGCTGGGCATGGTGGTGTGCACCTGTAATCCCAGCTACTCCAGAGGGTGAGGCAGGAGAACTGCTTGAACCCGGGAGGTGGAGGTTGCAGTGAGCTGAGATGGTGCCACTGTACTCCAGCCTGGGTGGCAGAATGAGACTCTGTCTCAAAAAACAAAACAAAAAAACCCCTGGAACCCACCAAATAGAAAAAACCATTTGCTGGCATATAAACCTGAGATTGGGGTAAACTGAGGACTGAATGAGCTCTGACTGCCATTCTGAGTTCTAAATGTCTTCCTGAAGGGCCTAGAAAGAGTCATGCCTACAGGCCACCTTAGCATTCCCTTCTATTAGCCCTAAGTTTTTAGACAAAACTTTGCTTCCTTGACCAATCACGGATCAGAGACTTTTTTTTTTTTTAACATTGGTGAAATCCACAGAGTTTATTCAGATTTTACAGGTTTTACGTGCACTTATTGTATGTGTGTGTGTGCCCATCTGTGTGTATGGTTATATGAAATTTTACTAACCTGCACATTGTGCACATGTACCCTAAAACTTAAAGAATAATAATAATAATAATAATAATAATAATAATAATAATAAAGAAACTGGATCACTTACACACTGCTGGTGGAAATGTCAAATGGTAGCATCACCCTGGAAAATAGCTTGCCGGTTTCTTATAAAAGTAAGCATGCACTTACCATTTGCACATTTGTGCATTTATCTCAGAGAAATGAAAACTTAAGTCCACACGAAAACCTGTACGTGAGTGTTCATAGAAGCTTTACTGGAAATATCTAAAACTTAGATTAGAGACTCTTTAAATCCTCCTATAACCTGTAAGGTATAGTAAGCCCCTGCTTCAAGATATCCTGCCTTTTAAGGCCACAGCAATGTCTAACCTCTATGTATTAATTTACAATTTTGCTTGTAACTTCTGCTTTCCTGAAATTTGCCCCTGCCTTTAAAAACACTTGCTTGTAAGCCATCGGGGAGGTTGAGTCTTACATGTGACATGCCTGGCTGGGTACGGTGGCTCACGCCTGTAATCTCAGCAGTTTGGGAGGCTGAGGCACAAGGATTTCTTGAGCCCAGGAACTGGAGTTTGTAGTAAGCTATGATTGCACCACTGCACTCCAGCCTGGGTGACAGAGTGCAATGCTGTCTCAAAAAAAATAAAAAATAAAGAAAAACAAAAAAGTAAGCAGCCCGATTCTCCTTGCTCGGCACCCTGCAAATAAGTGCTCTCCTTTCTCTGGCTACGAAAACTCAGTGTAAATATTTGGCTTTAATATGCTAGGTGAGCAGACCCAGGTTTTATCTGGTAACAAGTCCAACAAGAAGGCCCCCTACTTTAGACACCAATAGTAGATCCAGGTGACCTGCACTTTTGACCAACTGGCTATAAATCAGGGGTTCCCACAACCCCATCCTCAGGTTTCATAATTTGCTCACAAAATCATAATTTGTTCAGAAAACTCAGAAAAACAATTTATTTTTGTTTACCTTATTATAAAGGATAAAACTGAATAACTAGTTGAAGAGATATCCTAATTACCTTTCTGGTGAGGTCCAGAAAGTTCCCAAGTGCAGGAGCTTCTGTCCCCATGGAGTTTGGAGTGTGCCACTCTCCAGCACATGGGTGTGTTCCCCAGCCCAGAAACTGTCCTAATCCCTTAGTGTTTAGGGTTTATAATGGAGGTTCCATTATGCAAGCAGGATTGATTACATTCTTGGCAATTAACTCAATCTCCAGCCCATCTCCCCTTCCGGGAGGTTGAGGGAAGGGGTTGAAAGTTCTAACCCTTTAATCACAGAGTTAGTTCCTCTAGCAACCAGCCTCATCCTGGAGCCATGTATCTCATGGCTTTCAGCCATTCATCATCTCATTAACATAAACCCAGGTCCAGGTGAAAGGGGCTTGTTATGAATAACCAAAAAACCTCCCATTGCCTGTACCACTCAGGAAATTCAAGGGTTTCAGAAGCTCAGTTTCAGGAAGCAGGGACAAAAACAAAATGTTGTATTAAAAGGTGCTTCTATCATCCCTACCCCTCAGGACATTACAAGTGGAACAGGGGATGAAGACAAATTGTGTATGCCATTTTACATCACAATATCACAGCATTGCAGAGTGGATGACAGTTTATTGAGCCTTGTAAAAATTAATCAGGTGTTTATGGGTGGCATCCCAGGATGGAGGAACAGAGTGAGGTGTTTAGGGCTGCATGAATAGTTGGGTGTAGCTGAGATGACCGGTGCAGAGATTGCAGTGTTAGGAGAAGAGGGTGATTCTCAGGCTACAGAAGGTAGACTTTATGCTGTAGGTTTTGGAGGAGAGTGGCCTAAGCCTAGGAGATTGGCTATCACAGTTGACCTGAGAGCCAGAGCCAGAACAGTGTAATGACTAGGAGGCTAACTCTGGAAACTGACTGCCTGGGCCTTGAATCTGTGCTCCACTCTGCCAGCTGGGTGAACTTGGGCAAGTTATTTAACCTCTCTACCTTGATGTCCTTGAGTGTAAAATGGACATGGTAACAGCCTTACTCATGGAGTTGTTGTGAGGTTTTCAGGAACTGTTGTTAGTAGAGCACCGAGAACTATACCAGGCACATGGTATCCCTGAGCTAGTGCTAGCTGAGATGACTGGTGGATGTTCAGTGGCCTCCATGGGAATCCGAGCTTTGTCACTTACCAGCTCTGTCACCTTGAGATGATGAGTGGAGCTCTCCAATCCTCATTTTGCTTCTTGTAAGCAGCGCAGCGGAAGCGCCTCTGCATAGGGTGAGGGCTAGATGACCCTCATCCAACACTAACGCTTGCACAACACTTTGCACAGCATCTACCTGAGAGTCAAATTGTCAGAGACGTTAAAACCAGAGCAATTCCATCTTGAACAGAAGCTGAGTAAAACAAGGCTGAGAGCTGCTGGGCTGCATTCCCAGAAGGTTAGGCATTCTTAGTCACAGGGTGAGATAGGCGGTCACAAGATACAGGTCACAAAGACCCCACTGATAAAAAAAGATTCAGTAAAGAAGCCAGCCAAAACCCACCCAAACCAAGATGGTGACAAAAGTGACCTCTGATTGTCCTCATTGCTCATGATATGCTAATTATAATGAATTAGCATGCTAAAGACACACCCACCAGTGCCATGACAGTTTACAAATGCCATGGCAACATCTGGAAGTTACCCTATATGGTCTAAAACAGGGGTCCCTGCCCCCCAGGCCAAGTACCAGTACCAGTACCAGTCCTTGGCCTGTTAAGAATGGGCTGCACAGCAGGAGGTGAGTGGCAGGTGAGCAAGCATTACTGCCTGAGCTCCGCCTCCTCTCAGATCAGCAGCAGCATTAAATTCTCATAGGAATGCAAACCCTATTGTGAATGGCGCATTTGAGGGATCTAGGTTGCTCACTCTTTATGAGAATCTAATGCCTGATGATCTAAGGTGGAATAGTTTCATCTGAAATGATCCACCCTCCCCCCGCCACCACCAACCCATGAAACCGGTCCCTGGTGCCATAAAGGTTGGGGACCTCTAGTCTAAAAGGAAAACAGAAACCCTCTGTACCGGGAATTCCTTGCCCTTTCCGACTCACAAATAATCCACCCCTTGTTTAGCATGTAATCAAGAAATAGCCATAAAAATAGCCAAACAGCAGCCCTAGGGCTGTTCTGCCTATGGAGTAGCTGTTCTTTTATTCCTTTACTTTCCACATAAATTTGCTTTCACTTTACTCTTTGGACTTGCCCAGAATTCTTTCTAGCATGAGATCCAAGAACCCTCTCTTGGGGGACTGGATCAGGACCCCTTTCCAGTAAAAAACCAAACTTTGCCTTGAGTGTAGGAAGATGGCTCCATGGTGAGAGGAAGCCTGATGAGACACAGAAGTGGGGGCCTTGCATGGAGGCTGTTTGGATTGTCAGTGTGACAGGCAGTGAGCTAAGGTTTTGGGAAGCCAAACAGAAAGGTGTCTGGGGCTGTGAGAGAAAAGGGAAGGGCGAGCTGAGAAACTTGACTGTTGGCTTGAAGGTTTACAGGGAAGGGTCAGGGCTTGTGGGAAGCAAAGATAAGGACAAGGCTTCTCACCCAGTGCTGGGAGAATGACTATATATTGACTGAGATGAAGGACTCAGGAGAAGCAGGGTTAGGATGAAGAACTGATAACATTGACAGATTTACTGTGCAGCAGATGTGTGGTTGAGAGGGTTCGGAGAGCATTTCATTAGTTAATTGTGTTTGATCAGGTATTCTCCATATATTCTGCATTTTTAGGGAGATGAACTTACTCACATTACTTCTTATATTATGGTAAAGTATACTCAACATACATTTACACTAGTTTTAACCATTTCTGATTGTACGGTTCAGTGGCATTAGTGCATTCACATGGTTGTGCAACCATCACCACCATCCATCTCTAGAACTCTTTTGTCTCCCACATTGAAACTCTGTGCCCAATCAATGATCACTCCCCATTTTTTCCTCCCCACAGCCCCTTACAACCTTTATTCCACTTTCTGTCTATAAATTTGACTACTCTATGTGCCTCATATAAGTGGAATCAGACAATATTTGTCCTTTTGTGACTGGCTTATTTCATATAGCTTAACGTTTTCAAGAATCACCCATGTTGTCAAATTTGTCCAAATATTCTTCCTTTTAAAGCTGAATAGTGTCTATTGTGTGTGTAAACCGTATTTTGTCCTTCCATTCCTCTGACAGACACTTGGCTTTCTTCCACATTTTGCCTATTATAAATAAAGCTGCTGTGAACATTTGTGTGCAAATATCTGTTCAAGTCCCTATTTTCATTTCTTCTGTGTATACACCCAGAAGTGGAATTCCTGGATTATATGGTAAGTCAATGTTTAATTTTTTGAGGAACAGCCATACTCTTTTCCACAGCAGCTGCACCATGTTACATTCTCACCAGCAATGCACAAGGGTTCTGAGTTCTCCATGTCCTTACCCATGCTTGTTATTTTCTCTTGCTTTCTTTGTTGTTGTTGATAATAGCCATCTTAGTGGGTGTTAAGTGATATCTCATTATAGTTTTGATTTATGCTTCTGTAATGATTAGTGACATTATACATCTTTTCATGGGCTTACTGGCTATTTCTACATCTTTGGATAAATGTCGATTCAAGTCATTTGTCCATTTTTGAATTGGGTTGTTTGGATTTTTTGTTGTTGTAGAGTTTAGGAGTTCTTTATGTATTCTGGATATTAATCCCTTATGCTATGTGTAAAATATTTTCTCTCATTCTCCCATTGTGTGTGTTGCCTTTTCACTCTCTTGATACTGTCTTTTGATGCACAAAAGTCTTTAATTTTGATGATGTCCTCCACATTACCCATTTTTTTTTTTTATCTTTTGTTGCCTCTGCTTTTGGTGTCATATCTAATCACATCACTTCCTGTATCACATAAGAAAAAGCCAAATTGTGATGCCAAGCTTCTTGGATAATGGTGTGACTAATGTCTTAGCAAAATCTGTTTTATAACTTTCTTGGGTTATTGTAAATACTAGACATAGGGATATACAATGCCATTCTTGCAATTCTCATATCTTCCTCTCTAAATTTTCTTTTTTTGTGTCATTGTTCCCATCAATCTTCTAGTCCCCAGGACAGAGAATAGGCATTCTTGTCTTCCTATCCCTCTCCCTCCTAATCAGCTATAGAAGCTGGGGAACTTTCCTTTATCCTCCTGGGCAGCTAGGCTATAGATCCCAGCCTTCTAGCAGTTAGATGAACGAGTTCTGGCCAACAAAATGTAGGTAAAAGAGGTGTTTTTATCTTCTGGCCTGCAGCAGAAGCTCTTTTGCAACCTTCCATTCTGTCTGTCTGCCCTCATTTGCTGGTCATATGCAGAGGATCTCACTGAGGACTATGTGGATTGTGTTGGAGCCACAAGGCAGAAGGAGTCTGGGCCCTGAATGACTGCATGGATCAAGCCTCTCTATTCACTCACATGGTCCTGTGATATGAGTGAGAAATAAACCTTTACTGTGTTAAGCCAGTTAGATTTGTGGTTGTTTGTTACAGCAATTAGTCTGTGCAGATGAATCCACCAACAATTTAGAAGTCCTCTCAGAGATAGCCAAACAATATGTCTCCTTGCCTCCTCCTTCCCATGCATATTTATAGTATTTTAGTCTCCTTGCAGCTCCCCACATCCCTAAACCACTATAATGGTTTACCTACTGGGTTTCCTAGTCCAAATCTTTCCTCCTCTAGTTTATCATTCATGCATAACAGAATGAATATATGGAAAATAAATATTTCTAAGAGGATAACAGGTTTATATGCTTTGGTTTCAAAACTTTTGTTATTAGAGATTTTCCTGATAGAATGGCTTCTTCACTCTTTTAGTGCTCCCCTACAGAAATACTCGCCATCCGTTATGCATGCCTACTTTTTTACCTTGGCTCCATCTCTCCTTCTCCCCCTATCTTCTTCAAGCTCAAGTTCCCTTGTTCCCCTTCCTCCGGGAGCCCTCTGTCAACTCCTGTCTTACTTGTTTATCTTATATCCTTGGCACCAGACATACATTGCTCTTCATATATGTGGTTCCATGCTAAGTGTCTTCAGCTGAACCAGAGATTTCTGACATTGGGTTCATCAGTGCAATACGTGAGGCCCTTGAAATTGCTGCCAAATTCTTTGTGCGTGTATGTATTTTTTTTTAAAGGGGTGGACTTAGACTTCGCAAGTTCCTTCCAATGTGGAACGTGCATAAGACTGGTATACCCATTGTCTTTAAAAAAACATTCATGAAAGCAGCAATGGATGTAATACCTCAGAAGCAAGAAAAGATAGAGGTGGAGGCAAAGTCTGCCCACATAGGATGCCCTTTGTACTCTTCCTGCTTTAATAGGAACCAGTGCCCAGCTTCCAGGGAGGGGGAGTCAAAAACTTCTGCAATGAAGTGACTCATCCCTGGCACAGAATTGCATCTGGCTGCATTCCCTTCACTTCATATGGGGCAGGTGGTTTGTAGAGTTGACTGAAATGGGCCAGGGCCCTGCCAGGTTACTTCACTCCTTTGCCTACCCGCAAACAAGGCTAGCTTTTGCCATATGCTGGGGTGGGCAGATAGTTCCCCTGTTCTTGTCTTTCCATCAAGATAATGCCACACGAGCCAGCAGCCCTCCTCTTCATCGTCTCATGTCCATACTCATAAAATACTTTAGAGCCTCTTAGATTCTGTGGTCCAGGCCCAGTGGCCTCTGATGCTTGCTATTCCCCAGGGAGGCCTGCTGGAGCCCTGTGGGATCCCCTTCCTTCTGTGACTCTTTCTGTTTGCTCAGCACCCAACCCTGGCAGAAAGCAGCATGCCTTGCTCGCTGCTTTCTCTACAGCTCTATGAATGTTTAATAAATTCTTAATTAAAAGCTGGGCACCTCATCTATTCCTGTCAATTGCTTCTCCGTTGTGAAGAAGAGAGGCCTACAGGAGGGAAAAGTCAAGCCCGCACTCCACCCTCTGTTCACACCCACAACGACCCACGTGCACGTGCACACACACACACACACAGCCATGGGACTCGGTGCTGTATTTACATAATTCTATTGACATTTTGAGGCTAAAATTAGGTATGCTACTTTAATTCTCTGTTAAATTAAATTATGAATGTTTGGAACGTAGTAATTTCTTTTGTTCTATGAACAGATTGTTTTATATATCTGCCTATATTACCAAGTTATTAATTTAATGATTTCATAATAGCAGCTCATTCCTCTGGGTAATATAAAGACTGAAGTGCATGCTCTGTACAGCACAGGCAGACACTGCTTGCCCTATGTGAATTGAAGGTTTTAGGAATAAAGTTATTAGTTTTGGCAGAATGTTTAAGTGTGCACAGGGAAAGTGGAGGGATGTGTCAGGTCAGCTCGAGCTTCCCAATCTCATTGAAAAAAGTCAGGGCATAGTCCATTGCCTGTGAGACTGGATGAAAAATAATTTTCTTAAATAAAGTCAAGCACCTAGCTGAACACTGGCTAGTTTGACAGCTGCTGCCTGCCCCTCTACCGTGGCAGCTCTGGACACAGTGTAGGGTCAGCCCCAGCTACAAACAGGAGATTCTTTGTCTTTCATCCTGTGGACCTGCTGGATAATCTCCAGCATGATGGAGATGTGCTGCCAGGCAACAAGGCCGTGACTGCATCGTCTTGCTCCTTGCTGGCTTCCCACCCTATTGTGGGGAGATGGAAAAGAGCCAGATTCTGTGTGGTGAGTGGGGATGAGCATGAAGTCTGGATTCAGAGGGACCTTCCTCTTTCCCTGGGAGTTGTGACTTTTGTGACTTGGGCTTTTTTAAGCCTCAATTCCCCGATCAGTACAATGGGGGCATTGATAACACCTTTCCAATCAATGTTGTAGGATTGTTGTGTGGCTCAAACGAGGAAATGGGTGGGAACGTGCTTTGCAATCACTAACAGACAGGTTTCTTTGGAGGCTGGGTTGTGTAGGGTATGGGCAGGTACCACTAATCACTACAGATGACATCAGAGCAATGTTCATGACCACTTTCCTCACAGCTCCAGGTGACTCACTTCTCCATTTGTTACTCCATTTCTTACTCCATTTGTTCAGCTGACACCTGAGATTTGAGTTTGAGGACTTCTAAAGTTCTCCCACCTTTGGTAGTTTGGGATTCTATCTATTTTTCAGGAGAAATCACCAAAATGCTTCATTTTAGTTGAGAAGACAATGCTGAATGTGGAGCCTTATAAGGAATCACAGCGTATTCAGTTGTTCAGTAAATACCAAGCACTGCTAACTCAACAAGTACTGATTTAGAACAGCAGATGCAACAGTCTCCAAGACAGGAGTGGTTTCTGCCTTCTCCAAGCCTATGATCTAATGAGAATCAGATGACTAAACAGGCAATCATGATATCCTGTGATGATAAAAGGCATGTACCCACCCTAGACTGGGGCCAGGAAAGAGGAAGGTAAGCCCAGGCTGATACCTTGATATTGACTACGGATCAGCCATGCAAAGAGGAGGTGAAAGAATGGGAAGGGCCAAGGTGTTTCAGGAATTAAGAGCATGTGGAAAGTGTGGGGAGATGGGGGTAGGAGAGAGCAACACAGCATGGATTGGACATTCCATCTAGGTTTGGGGAGGGAGTGGTGAGATATGAGGCTGGAGCCATCAGCAGGGGGCCATATATGGCAGACTTGGGGAGTTTTGCTAAGCAAAAGGCACTTGGGGAGCCACTGAAGAAGATAAGGGATTATTTGTGTTTTAGAAAGGATGCTATGGCTGCCATGGGAAGAACCATCTGGAAGGGTCAAGTTGAAGGCAGAGAGACCAATTAGGAGACTGCTGCAGTCAACAAGATGGGAGACAGCAGGGTCTGTGTTAGGTAGAGACAGTAATGTAGACAGAAGACATAGGAGGTGCTCAGAAGGTGGAACTGATGAGGTCTCCATTAGGCTCTTGGTTAGATGGGGGCAAAACAGAGAGGGAGGTGCTGAAGGTTGGACCAGCAGAGGTCTCTGAGGTTGCTCTTTACCCTTTGAGTTCTTCCCTCTTTGGCTTTTCTATTGTTTAAGAGGAAACTCTCACACAAACCCCTTCTTCCATGGCTGACACACACTTGTGTAATCACCCGATGGGTTTTTCCTGCCTCCTGCACAGACAACACCAATCCACTGGAATTGTGCTATTGTGGTAGAGAAAGAGTATTACTAACGTGAGGCTGGCCATAGAGGAGATGGACACTCAAATCAGTCTCCTCAAAAGTTAGAGTTTTTCAAGTATAGTTTGGTGAAAGGGAGGCTAGGGAGTGGAGAATGTTGATGGGTTGGAGACGAAATCATAAGGGTATAGAAAGTGGGTCTTGTGCACAGACTCAGCCTCTGGGTGGGATCACACAGCTGGACCCATTGAGTCATGAGTCACAGATCTGAGTGGAGTCAGCAGGTTGTCAGAAATGCAAAAGTCTGAACAAATATCTCAAAAGGCTAGTCTTAGGTTCTACAATAGTGATGTTATCTACAGGAATAATTGGGGAAGTATGGTCCTTTGGAACAATGGCTGATTATTGATTAACTATGCCTACATCTTAGTAGAATTCAGACCCCTCTCATAATCCTAACTTGTGGCCTTTCATTCGTTTTACAAAGGTGGTTTAGTTTTGGAAAGGATTATTACTATCCTTGCTTTAAGGTTAAAGTATAAACTAAATTCCTCCCCAAGTTATCTTGGCCTATGCCCAGGAATGACCAAGGACAGCTTGGAGGTTAGAAGCAAGATGGAGTCAACTATGTCAGACACCTGCACACACATGTGTCTCAGCTGCTCAGTGAGGCCAGCAGGGTAGCTAAAAAATATTTCTCTGCAGAGATGACAGATTGCTAAGTTAAAACCAGTGTCATTGATTATAGTTTCTCCATTTGTTTTTTTGTCTCTGCATGTCAACTCTATGAAACATTCCAACATCCTCAATTGAAAAAAAAAAAGAATTCCTTTCTTTTGCTTTCACACAATATAGTATGTCTTAATCATCTCTGGATTCCTGGTGCCTAGCACTGTGTCAGGCACAGCTATAGCCAGGACTGTCGAGTGATGGATGAGCAAATAGACCCCAAGGGCACTGGGTCTCATTCCTCATGAAGGGAATTCTGGGGTGTGCTCACCAACCTCCCCCAGAAGAAACCTGGATCTGTCTAGGTATGAGGCAGGAAAGCACTAGAAGTTGATGGAAAACCTCCTTCCCAATTAGGGAATTGCCAAAGCCAGATACCTGTGGGACCAAAGACAAGAGGTCCAAAGTAGTTGCTTTGCAAATGTACGTTAATGTTGGCCAACCCATTAGCAGAAGGTGGGCAAGAAGGGGACGGAGGGGAAAGTAGAAGTAGGGTTGGTTAGGGCTCAACCTACCTACAGAAGATAGCAGCTATGAAAGAAGGAATGCCTGCTTAGGCACAGGATAGAGAACTGGTGAGACATACAAAGGGACAAAAAAGGTGACAAAGATGATGTGGAAAACTGAGCATGAGCCAGGAGCCAGAATTTGGACAGAAGATCAACTGTGGAAGGTGACTTTCACCAAACACGTGGGGGAAGAATCAGTGTAGGATATGTCAAATAGGATCCAGGGGGTTGGGGGTGTGTGGAAAATGACTATTTCGAGACATCAGGGGAGACGGACAGCAGGGCAGAGTTTAGACTGCAGTATTCATATGGAGAGAGGAGATCATGTTTGCTTTGTTAATGGCTGTGCACCAATGACTGAGGCTGACACTTCATAGATAGACAATAAAAAATGAATGAATCCTGGGTGTTGTCCTTCAAGAATCATGTAGAGGAGGCTGGGTGTGGTGGCTCACGCCTGTAATCTCAGCACTTTGGGCAAGCTGAGGCGGGTGGATCACAAGGTCAGGAGATTGAGACCATCCTGGCTAACATGGTGAAACCCCGTGCTCTACTGAAAAAAAAAAAAAAAAATTAGCTGGTCATGGTGGCGGGCACCTGTAGTCCCAGCTACTCGGGAGGCTGAGGCAGGAGAATGGCATGAACCTGGGAGGCGGAGCTTGCAGTGAGCCAAGATCACGCCACTGCGCTCCAGCCTGGGCAACAGAGTGAGACTCTGTCTAAAAAAAGAAAAAATCATGTAGAGGAAGGTTAAGGAAAGAGGGATGCCAGGGGGTAGGAGAAATGTGCTGTCTTCAGGACCTGTATCTTAGAACTGGCAGAGTGGAGGCAGATCAGTGGGACTGGATTATGTTCAACACATTCCCAAGTGGTACCCCAAGAATTCTTCCTCAGTAGTAAATTATTGCTAATACACTACTATGGTCTGACTGCTTGTTGTTCCCAAAAATTCATATGTCAAAACCTAATCCCCAGTGCAATAGTATCAAGAAGTGGAGTCTTTGGGATGTGATTAGGTCATGAGGGCTTTGTCGTCATGAATGGGATTAGTGTCCTTGTAAAAGAGGCCCCAGGGAGCTATTTGCCTCTTCAGCCATGTGAGGACACATAGATGGCATCATCTATAGAGGCCTTCCTCTATCGGCAGTTTAATCTTGGATTTCCCAGCCTCCAGAACTATGAGCAATACATTTCTGTTGTTTATAAATTATGCAGTGGAAAGTATTTTGTCATAGCAGCCCAGATGGACTAAGATATACACTAAACATCATGGACTGAGTGGATGATGGCTCAGAGGCCCCTAAGGCAAGGGCACTGGCAGGAGCCAGAGTCAAGGCAGTAAGCCCAGGGTCTCCTAAAGAATGCTTCAGGAGATAGAAGTGGTGTGATCTTCAGGGAAGGGCAGAGAGCCTTATTTTGATTGCTAACTATCGATGTCTTTTTTTGGCACCTCATGGAAAGACCACGTTTGCAGGTGAGGGTGGTGGTGGTGGTGGTGGGGTTATGGCTGAAATCCAGGAGAGGAAGTGCTTGGCTTCCCACTGTATGTCTCCAAACGACAAAAAAAACTGGAGACTTGTGAGAGTCCATTTGGAGCAATTCAAAGTCTGGAGCCCTGGGCTATTTAATGTTTCCAGCAATGGACTAGATGATGAAACAGAGAGCACACTCATTAATTTCATAGATGACACCCAGCTGAGGCTGGAGGGGCACCTTGGAGGATCAGATTAGAATTCAAATTGACTCGAGTAGGTTTTAGAGATTGGTCAGAAACCAACCAAATGAGATTTGGGAAGGACAAGGGCAGAGTAAGGGAAAAGCAGCCACCCAAATGACGGGGAGGAATGACTTACTTACCAAATGACATCATTACCAAATGATGGGGAGGAATGACTTACTGAGTCCCAGTCCTGCTGGAAACCTGAAGACTGTCTTGACCTCCTTGCCTGATTCATCACTGCTGACATTTGCACACAGCTTACAATGAACTTTCACAGCTCCCTCCTTTGAGCTTAGGGTGACAACCCCTTAAGAGAGGAATTGTTATGAGTAAGATCATGGGGGTTCAAAGATGTTAAAAATCTGCCCAAGGCTACATAGCTGATAGGTGTCACAGCCAGATGCAAACTTAGTTAGCACTTTACAGCGCTCATTGACACTTACCTCAGTGCTTTACTGTGTCCTCTGTTCTCCCACCTCATTTAGAGGTACATTTCCCTTGATGCTTCTCTTGCCCACAGGCCAGCCCCATCTCCTTTCCTATTCTTTTCTGGGTAGCCAATATCCTAGGGTGCGTCCTCCAACCCAGTTCTTACAAGCTGCTTTATCAATCTGGATTTGTTCTATTTGGACTAGACCCACGCAGGTAAGTTGTGCACCTTGGGTCCATCCAGCTATCTGTCAATTCCTCTACTCACTGGGTTTGTTGAGAACCACTGGAGGAGATCATATACTTGGCTGGAAGGAGCCACTGCAGATCCATTGGGCAGGCTCTTGGTGCTGCTTGGCAAGAATCCATTATGTGTCTCTGGTCAGCTTATTCCCCTCAAGGTCCTAACAACATTACTGCCTCATTTATCATCATTATGTCATCATCATCATCATCATCATCATCGTCATCATCTTCATCATCATCGTCCTATTGAGGAACAGATGGGGGTCATCTGGAAAGTGCTGTCCCAGCTTCCTATCCTCATTCTCTCTCAATTCATCCAAATGTACATCAACTCTCACTCCTCTCCTCCTGGCTCAGGGCAAGGAATGATTTTTCTGTTCACTCTTCTCTCCTGTACTTACAGTCTATCCCGTTCTTCCTTCAGGGACTCCACAAGATCTTCCCACTCTATTGTCCCTTCCTCATAGTCCTTGAACATGCTTCAGTTCAGCCCATCTTCAAAAGCTCTTCCTGGAGGACAGTTACTAGGGAGGTGATGGAGTATGGTACCGCTGTACTGGCGATGTTCTGGTTCTTAGGTTAAGTGGAGCTCTTAGGTTAAGTGAAGCATTCATGGATACTTTACATATATTCTATCACATGTATCCATCACTAAGTAATTAAAAAATCAACTTACATAAAAATATCTCTTCTTCAACCATGCTAGCAACATTTTGTTCTTCCTTTTGAAGACAGTTCCTTGAAGATCATCATCTTCAACTTTGTTTTTTGTTCTCTCCTTAATCTACTATTTTAATGACAAAAGCCCCCAGTGACCCCTAATATGTCAATTTGCAGCCCACACCTTACCTTACTTTTCTGAGGCATTAATCGATCTACCACTCCTCTTCTCTTAAAACCCTGTAGACCTGAGCCTTTTCTCTGCTTTGGTTCTCCCTACTTCCTAATGTGTCCTTTTACAGCCCACAACTCACCTGACTTTCCTGAGGCATTAACCAGTCAGCCACTCCTCTTCTCTTAGAACCCTGTAGACCTGAGCCATTTCTCTGCCTTGCTTCTCCCCTGAGCTCCCTGACCAGCATCTCCCAGTGTCTTTGCTGCTTCCTCTTCTTCTGCCCAGAACTTACACATCTGTCATATCTCAGCTTCCTTTCCTAGGGTCCTCTTTCCCTTTCTTCTCATTCTTCCTGCACCAGACCAAGGTTGTCCGTGACTTCACGTCTACCCATTCATACACATCTGTCCTGGCCAGAGCTCTCTCCTGTACCACACACCTTATATTGAACTTCCCACTAGATAGCTTCACCTGAATGCTTCTCCTCCCACGCAACCTGGACTCATTTTATTGCCCTCCTTCAACTTGCCCCTCCTTCTGTGGGCCAGCCCCTAGGAATTATGTTAGACTCCCACACATTACTCTCTTTCCCTATATCTGATTGTGGAGTAACTGTCTTTGTTCATGGTCATAAGCTCTTCATTAATTTCCCTGTTTCTAACCTTGCCTCCTGTTAATCCAGAGCTGATCTTGCCAAGATGCAAAATTGTAGGCCCTCAAGGCCACCATGATGTCCCCACTCTTTGCCTTTGCACATGCCATACCTCTGCCTCAAGACCCTTCCCCATGTTTCCCACCTGGCAGCTGTTCCTGCCAATGCTTTTGCTTCCCATTCTGAGATGCAACACAACGTGGCAACTGAGAGTGCTGGTTCTGGAGTCACCCTGACTAGGTTTAAATCCTGGTCTACTCCTTCTAGCAATATCACTTGGGTCAAACACCCTAAGGCTTCCTGTCCTCACCTGTGAAGTAGAAATGAGGAAAGCACCCACCTCACAGCATGGATGTGAAGATTCACTAAGATAAGGGTCCTCAACCTCAGGGCTATGGATGGGTACTGGTCCATGGTCTGTTAGGAACGGGGCTGCACAGCAAGAGGTGAGCAAGGGCAAGCAAGTGAAGCTTCATCTGTATTTAAACACACTCCCAGCACTTGCATTACTCCCTGAGCTCCGCCTCCTGTCAGATCATCAGCGGCATTAGATTCTCATAGGAGCATGAACCCTATTGTGAACTGCACATGTGAGAGATCTAGACTGCACGTTTCTTATGAGAATCCAACTAATGCCTGATGATCTGAAGTGGAACAGTTTCATTGTAAAACCATCTGGCCCCTAACCCTGGTCCATGGAAAAATGGTCTTCCATCAAACCTGGTGCCAAAAACACTGGGGGCTGCTGCACTAAGGCTCTCTGTAAAGCGTCTGCCACCATGTTTGGTGCATTAGAAGTCCTTCCTGCACAGTGGCCCTCCCCACACTGGACTAAGGTCCAATGTCACGTGCTCCATGAAGGTGTTCCAGACCTTCCAGACAGACTTAATTTTACCACTTTTGCTGCTTAGAGTGTAATTTTGTGTGTTTGTCTGCATCTACAAGAACAATGGACACTATTTGTGATGTAGCTCTTAGAATCTGACACAGTTTTCAATGTTAGGCACCCCCTGCTCCCAGCCATGCCTCAGAGATGAGTGGCTTGGGCCATTCATATTTGCTTGGTTACATAAAGGCTTTTGTGGTGTTGGACGAGCTTCCTCATCCAATTTACTCATCTATAAACAGAGGCCATTGTGGAAGGGAGGCTGCATTCTGAAAGGGTACTCTTATATTGGGCATAAAGTTCATAGGGAAACCAAAATTCCTAAAATAATCAGGATGGAATATCTAGAAATTAGGGCTGGTCAGCAGGGTACACATTGTCCTGTGTGTGGACAGACATTGTTGAGAGTTGTGGCTGTGGAATAGGACAGGGACCTGTATTACACATTGTGTGTGTGTGTGTGTGTGTGTGTGTGTGTGTGTGTGTGGTGTGTTGTATGTGTCTGCAAAAACACATGCCTGTGCCCCATGGTTGTGCAGTGTGCCCTGGGGCAGCTAGCTGACAGTCAGTTGCTTCATTGTTCTCTGGCTGAAACAGTTGTTAGAGCTGTTAGAGGGTTCACAGGAGCATGAACCCTATTGTGAACTACCAGCAGCTGGCCTGGCCAGCCTCCCCACAATGATCTTAGGGGGCAAGAGTCACGCTGCTGCATGAAGGCCATGGGAGATGGAGGCTTAGCTAGATAGAGCAACCGGCCCTCATGGAACCCCCCAGGCACACACTTGCTGCTGGCCACCTGATGAGCTGCGAGGGCATTCTTGCACCTTGCCTGGGTGGGACTGGGAAGCAGCTGCCGCTAGCTCTGGGTGGATGCCGATACAGGCTCTGTGGCTAGCAGCATCTCCCCAGGAGATGGGTAGGACTGCCTGGCTGATGCTCTCTGCCCAAGTTCCCTGGGGTGGGTTGGGAGAAGGGGACAGAGGGCATTGGCTCTTGCCCACAGCCAGGATCCACTCTGCCTGGCTTTGGGGTCTTCTGGCCTGTCAATTTCTAGCCCACCCGATTTTGGGCTCTTTCGCGTCTTCTCTGCATATCCTTTAAGGGTTCAGAGCATGACCTCACCTGGGGCCACAGAAGCAGATGGGGAAGTGGTTCTGTTGCCTGCTTTTTTGCCCTGGCCTTTCCTCTAGGCCTGGCTTTTGGGTGGCCCACTCTAAAGGGCCTCATAAAGCAGCTCCCTGAAGTCCCTAGGGTTCCTGCTGGCTTTTCCTTTATTGGCCTTGTAGGAATTTTGTAACCTGCCTGTGGATGGCTCCTTTGGGACCATGGACCTGCCTGTAGCACTTTCCCACATCCCTATTCCCCAGCTGCATGTTAGAAGCATCAACCCCCACTCCCACTGAAGGCCTGGGCCATGTACTTATCACCTCTTTGGGGCAGAGGCAATTCGGACACTCTGTTTGGTCCTTGCCATAAACTTGCTTGACACTGTCTGCCATTTCTCCAGCATATAACTACCTCCCTTACCCACATTTTTAAAGGCACAGCCTACCTCCTGGTGGATAAATGGCCCTGTAGGCTTGTGTAGTATAGTCAGGACAGGGTCTGTGGAGAGGGTGGGACTGGACATGGGCCCTGAAGTCCAGGCAGGATAAGGCTGAGTGGCAGGAGGGTGTGTGGGGCTTCCAGGTTAAGGAACATGTCTTTGGAACTGGTCCTTCCACTGCATTCTCACAGCTGCCAATTAATAGTGCCTGTCAGGTGAAGATGGCACTCAGAGAGAGGAGTGTGCCCCAAGGTCCCCGCAGAGGCCCACTGCTGCATCTGAAGCTGTGCTATGCTCAGGCCAGCCAACTTGTCATCTTCCATGTGGCCTTGTGGGATGAAGACGTTGAAGTTCTACCTCCTCCTAATGACCTTCAGCAGAGAACCTGAGTTGGCTTCTGAGCAGACACGTCCCCTGCCTCGGCCAGGCTGCTACCTAGGCAATTAACTGCTGCTGTAATTCCGGGTCTCTGCACCCACAGGCCCCCCTTTCCAAACAACCATGTCGAACAAGAGTCCTTAGAGGAGAAGGGAAAGTGGCTATCTGGTCTGGTGGCCCGACAGGTGGCCAGCTGAGAGACGACAGGAGTGTGAATGGAGGGGCTGTGTGGTTTTAATCACTTCAGATACTGTTCTGGGAGCAGATGTGAGATCAGTCCCAGAGAGCACTCTGGGGGTTGCAGCACCCTGAGGATAAGTGAGGGTGACAATCCGGAAGACAGGATATTCTCCCAGATCACTATCCCCCCGGGGCTGGCCCCAAGCCCTGCCAATTACCTATCTTGCTGGCTGGGCTCCTCTGTGTGGGAGGGGGCCTGAACTAACCCTGTGGCCGGGCACCCCACCAGAGAGTAGGAGGCTTGGTGGCCCTGAGAGCGTGCTCCTATGCTGGGGGTTAGGGGTGGTGTGCTGGGAGGCTGGGGGAATGACCTTTGGGGACCTCAGATTCCCGGACTCCTCCAGCCCTCCCATGGGTTATTTTCTCTCGCAGCAGAACAGCAGCAACCTGGGTTAATCAGGAGCTTGGGCTGACCCTGGGAGGATGGTCTCAGAGGAGAGAACTTATTTTGAGCTGGTGAAATGATTAGTGGTGCTAATCACAGGCTCAGCCCAGACCCTTCTGGCCTACTTACAGGCTGTTCCAACTTTCCCTGGCCTGTACGCGCTCTCCCTCCCCATCCCTCCTTCTCCTCTGTAAGCTGGCAGCTGCCCTCACCTGCCTTTCTCTCTTCTTACTCTCTCCTCCTATTTTTATGGGAAAAGAGACCCTGGGGACCCCAAGAGCTCTAGTCTGTACCCCTAGGAACCCCAAAGATTTCAAATGACCACAAGAGATTCCAAAGCTGAATATGATCCTGACCACAAGAAGACCCAGGGTACATTCTATATAAGGTAAGAGAGAAGGCCTGGGGGCACTCCCGAGGTGATGGATCCAAGGGTTTTCCTTTGGACCGTGGTGAGTGGTTGGGGGTAAATGAGGGAGTGAGGGGTGGAATGAGCCGAGGGGGAAGGTCCTACCCAGGTGATCCTGCCCTTGGCCTACAGCCAGAATTTCTTGGGAGTGGCAGCAGTTTTTGAGTGACCCAAGGTAGAGCTGTGCTCTTGGGCATTTAGAAGAGGCAGTGAGGAGTCCAGGGGCCTGGGACCTCTGGGAAGCTGGCCCTGTGGCTGGCTCTTCTGAGCATTCGTCTGGCCTGGTGAATGAAGGCTGATCAGCATATTCATGCACTCACTCAACAAGCAGGTGTTGACGCCTGTTCTGTACCAGGCCCTGTGCTAGGTTTTGGGAAAAGTGAAGGGTAAAAATGCTATGAAGGGAAAAAAGAGAGTGCTGAGTTTGAAATTACTGAGAGGGGGGTCCTATTCTAGATAGCAGAGAACAGGCCCCTCAGAGGAAGTGACATTTAAAGACTTGAAGAATGAGTAGGGATGAGTGGAACTAGGAGTGCGAGAAACAGGATAGGTAGAGGCATGCATGGAGCCCCCGAGGCAGGCAGGAACTGGGCTCTGGGATGCCACAGCATAGAGAGGCACGGTTGGCGGGGTGCCACAGCCCGGGCTGTACAGGCCATGCTAAGGAGTTTGGATTTTGTCCTTAAGACAGGTCATGCCCATTCCAAGCCTGCTGTTTTCTGACTCACTCTATGCCCTGGCCCCACGCTGCTCTGCTTGGCAGGGCCTAACTCTCATAGGCTGTGTCTTCCAGCCCCTGGGTCAGCAGGTTTCCAGCTGGTCTCAGCCTATGGGAGACTGGCAGGAGCTGGGAGCTGGGAGGAAGAAGCCAGGGCATTTCTCCTTCTCTGCCTTGGACAGCATTTCCAGAACTGGCTGCAATTCTAGGTTTCTGGCACCCAGTAAGCAGGTCTGCCAGGTGACCAGGCTCCTGGGTCCCTCAATCCAGAGGCCTCCTTTGTCCCAGCAGCATAGGGATGTAAGTGGTAGTTTGCCATTGCTAATCTCTGGGTTGCCTCATTGCTCCTGTTTGGCTTTTTGGCCTCCTTAAAATCAACTCAGTTTTAAATGCTCACTTACTGAACACTTGTACGTTCTCTAAGAAGGACTTTGCATATATTGATTCATTCAAAGCTCTATGATATGGATTATACCTATTTTATAACTAGAAAAACAGAGTCCAAAGAGGTGAAAGTGCATAGGTAGTGAATAGCAGAGCAGAGCATTGAACCAGGTAGTCCAGCCCCAGAACTTGAGTTTTTAACCTCTGGGCCAGGGCCTGCGTAAAGGGCTGAGTGCAGAACTCAGTGAAGTGTGTGGTTCTGGAGGAAGACTTGAGTATGCATTGTGGCTTCCCCATGATGGGTTCTGTGATCTTGAGTAAGGCCCTTAACCAGTGGGCACTTAATCAGTTTGCTTATCTATTAACTGGGGATAATATTAATACTAGAATTTAGTTCCTAGGGGTTTTGTAGGATCAAATGAGATAATGCACGTGAAATACTTAGCACAGTGCCTGGCACATAGTGAGCACTTGATCAGCATGTGGTTTTATTCTTGTTCTTCCTTTTACATGACTGTTCTGACCCAGGAGTCCAACACACAGGACTGGACAACTAGATCTTGGGTCAGGTAGGGCCATGGCTGCTCTTGTGCTTCCGGGTTCCACTGAGACCTGGGGTGAGTACACTGAGCTCCGTGGTGCTGAATCTGAAGCCTCATCTGTAATGGTGTCCTTGGCTTCTAGGTTGTCCTGTCCTTGCCTATAGTTTTTCTGTGTTCTGAGCAGGTGTTTCTCAGAAGTCTCATATGGAGCCTTCTCCCTCCATGGCCTTCTGCCTTGTGGAGACCTCCTTGTGTCCCCAGGAGGACTCTGCTAGACTAAATCAGGCTGAGAACCACCAGACCCAGATCTTCAGAGCAATCTCAGGCCCACAGAACTTGTAATGGTCTCTGTTGTTCTTTCCTGTTTTGAGCCACAATGAAAGATGGAGCATGTGCATACGCACGCACACACACACACAAACACACACATATACACACACTACTAAAATCAATGACCCAGTGGCAAACCTCAGTGAATTGCTGAGCCTTGAACAATTTCAGCCGACTGATGAAGATCCCAAATAATTTTCATTCTAATCTATGTTGCTTGACTTCTAAGGAGGTAATGGCCCCTTTGGTGACATGCTGTCCTTTCTGTACACAATTTATGGCTGTGACTTGCCTTTCTGGACTGCTAAAACATGCGGAGGAAAAACAGCTTTTGAATTACTGTGAGCCATTCTTTGCTGAGGTGCTGGACCCTTGGCTCCCAGCTTGGGCAAACATGGTGATGACCAGGCCAGGGAGAGGGTGGAGAGAGATGGAAGGAGGAAGAACATGGAAGGAGGTCTGAACATGAAACTCAAAAGATTGTAATGATATTAACAATAAGAGTCACGTTTATGCACTTTACAATTGCAAAGAACGTTCAATAGCATTATTTCCACTTAATCTTATTAACCTATCATTTTACAGGAGATGAGGTTTAGTTAGGTGACTTGCCAGGGACACACATTAGGTGGCAGAGGCACAGTCACAAATAACACCAGTTCTGACTGTCATGCAGTTTTTCTGATGAGTATGTGGGGTGAGGAGGCTTACAGGCCTTTACCAGGTAAGTAGCAGTTGGCTCAGGAGTTTGGAGTCTTCCAGGCTGCATAGAACATGCCTGAGGGTCATGTGTGTAGTCCTTCAGAAGAATGATTCTCTGGGCCTAACCTGAGACCCAGTCAGGTCTGGCCTGGCACCTCTAGCTTGTGGTTTTTAGGGGGTGGGACAGGATAAGAGTAAGTTGATTCCTATAAGTCTGTCATTTCAGGAAAACAACCCAGAGTAAATGCTTTGCTGAGCTTCAGAAGTCTTCTAACCTCTCTGTAAATCTCAGCTCCTCCCTCATCTGTAAATGGGATTGTAACAATGAAATCTCTGTGAGAACTAAATGCAATAAAGAGCTCTGTAAATGGTCGAGAACCAAGGACATACGAAGGAATTTTATTGTATCTTCCATCACCACCACCACCATCATCCTCCCCATTTCCTCCATCATCATCAACATCATCATCACCATCATGATCTTGTAAGAAGGACAGCATAAGTCAAAAATTACTAAGAGTATAGACCAACACTTAGAATATCTGGGGGAGCTTATTTAAAATGTCACATCCTGGCCACACCCCCAGAGATGCTGATTCAGAAGGTCTCAGTAGCACCCAGAAATATTCCTTTTTAACAAGAACCCAGGATGATTTTTGTTGCAGGAAGACTGTGGATTGCACATTGGGAAACATTGCCTTATAGTTGTAGGACAAACAAAAGGAGATTCTACCACACACAGGGTTTAGTGATGTTTGTGAAACCCGTAAGCCTACGACAATATGTGTAAGCAGTCCAAGACCTTTCCACATGAGGTCACTGGCTACCCATCAGCATTCAGGGGCAGGAGCAGCCTCCTTGAGTTTTCTGGTCTTGCTTTATCTAGTTTAAGCCACCTGGGGTGAACTGGGTAGAGCATATCTATCTAATACACTCATGTGAACTTGGGCCTTGGGATTGAAACAGCAGCATAAAGACAAATGAAGAAAGTATTTATTTATACTAAGACAGTACAAAGCAATTAATCCTCGCTATTAGCTATAATTAAATTCCTCAGAACGAAGACTTTCAAATTGTGAGCTGGAGCAAATCTCCCCCTGTGGCTTCCTGCGGAGGGCAGGCATCTTCTCTGGATCCCCTCTGCCCTGCCATCCCGGGCTGGTGCTACTCTGTTCCTATTGATTCCAAAGAGTTCCTTAAGCTGGGACTGGTGAATTGACTTTGCAAGTTTCCTTTTTAAAGGGCCAGACTAATTTTCTATGGGAAACGTGGGAGTTATATATGAAGAAACTCATCTAAGCAAAATGTGTAGCAGAAGTCCAGGGTAGCCAGTAGGTGATATTGTGATTTATTTTTGCATGTGGACTATTTGCAGGACAACCCTGCAAATCAAATGTGCATCCACTGACGTGAATGGTGGCTAAAAACTTCCTGTGGGGGAAGACGCTCCAGCCATGTCTAAATTTGGGGTTTAGACATGATCAGATATGTCAGGTAAACTGAAAGCGGGCATTGGGAAGCAGAGGCCAAACTACCAGGTGGGAAGTGAAGCTGCGTAAAAGAGACCCTGGCTGGCAGAATCCCAGGAAGGCACTCAGAGGCAGACTCAAGGCTCAGGGACCTGTGGAGTGATTTGGTGAGTGTAGGAGCTATTATTTGTGAGCCCTCAACCCTATTTCTGTATTAGTCTGTTCTCATGCTGCTAAAAAGACATACCCAAGACGGAGTAATTTATAAAGAAAAAGAGGTTTAATGGACTCACAGTTCCATGTGGCTGAAGAGGCCTCACAATCATGGGGGAAGATGAAAGTCATGACTCACATGGTGGCAGGCAAGAGCGCATGTGCAGGGGAACTCCCCTTTATAAACCCATCAGATCTCATGAGACTTATTTACTATCATAAGAACAGCACAGGAAAGACCCGCCCCCATGATTCAATTACCTCCCACCGGGTCCCTCCCACGACACATGGGAATTATGGGAGCTACAATTCGACATTTGGGTGGAGACGTAGTCAAACCATATTGGGCGGGGGGGTGGTATGTGTATATGTTGGGGAGGGAGCAGCTTTGGGGTGTTTCCTCAAATTCTCTAATTGGGGGACCCCTGCAAAAGAGTGTCACTAAGAAGAAAGGTATTGGGTTGGTGCAAAAGTAATTGCTGTTTTTACCATTAAAAGTAATGGCAAAACTGTAATTACTTTTGCATCAACCTAATATCTTGATAATCTGGGATGGAATAAGAGTAGGTGGCAGCTGCAGCATGGGCACTCCCAAAGGCTCCAAGAGGTACCCAGAGCAGGGAGGTGCATTGCAGCAGAGCAGTTGGAACAGCCTGGACTCTGACCCGAGAGGAGTGTGGAACGAACCCTGGAACTCCAGCAGGTAGTAGAGGGCAGCACAGGCCTGCAAGGGGATTGAGGTGCAGCATTTCAGTGGGGTGGGAGGTGGGTAGACAGTGACCAAGCTTGCCCAATGGGGGAGTGATGGGCTGGGCTGCTTGGGCCGTGCTGATGAAGCTGCTGTGGGTAGGTTGGGCACCATTGCCACGTGATGTGGGTTTTCCTGACAAGTCTCCTGGGGCTTCCCCCCTCACAGCTCCTGTTTGTTTCCCTTCCTTCCTTCCTTCCTTCCTTCCCTTCTTCCTTCCTTCCTTCCTTCCTTCCTTCCTTCCTTCCTTCCTTCCTTCTTTCCTTCCTTCCCTCCTCTCTTTCTTTCTCTCTTTCTTCCTTTCTTTCTTTCTTGATGGAATCTCACTCTGTAGCCCAGGCTGGAGTACAGTGGTGCAATCTCGGCTCATCACAATCTCCGCCTCCTGGGTTCAAGTGATTCTCCTGCCTCAGCCTCCCGAGTAGCTGGGATTACAGGCATGCACCACTATGATCAGCTAATTTTTGTATTTTTAGTAGACACAGGATTTCACCATGTTGGCCAGGCTGGTCTTTAACTCCTGATCTTAAGTGATCTGCCTGCCTTGGCCCCCACAGTGCTGGGATTACAGGCGTGAGGCACCATGCCTGGCCCCTGTTTCCTTTCTTTTTAAATCTTCTGTCCATACTTGGTGGTTCCGCTTGCAGGGCTCTCCAGTACCCAGGCTGGCATGTGCAGGGGATAAAAAAACTCAGGGGACTTGCTGCAGTATCATTTTTTAGGTCTTGAGGTCCTTATGTGACCCTCTCCCCACCTTTAAGCGTTCTTTTGTGATTGTCTGTTGAATTATTTGCGGAGTATTTAGTTTTACTTTGAAGAAGAAAACAGGAAAAGTGGGCTAATGACATCTTGCTGTTGAACTTGCACTCTTTGTCTTACTTTTAAGCTCTGTCCTGGGATGGCCAGATGGGGAATTAGCAGGTGCTGGTCCTTGGTCTAATGCAGGAGAACAGCAGATGCTTGTGGCTGTTGGTGGCAGCACAGGCAGGGGCCCTGCCCTCTGGATAATGCAGCAAATTGCCCCATGTGCTTCTCTATGTGGCACCAGCCCTTGAGGCTATTGCTGGAGATAGCAGTGGGCTACATGCTCCAGGGTCTGATGCAATGTGGTCATGCCCAGGGTCTCGTTGCTGCTGGAGGAAGGTGGCATTGTATGAGGCAGTTCAGTGAACCAACCCATCTGTCACCAGAGATTACCATCTTTAGGAATCGTGCTGTCTAACAGAGCTACAACAAAAGTGCCGACTGTGATTTACGGGCGCAGGGGCAATTGGGGAACTGGACTATACATTACAGCAACTTTTCCATGAGCTAGAAACCATACGCCTTTGACTTCCGTGATTCATTTATCTTACATTGTAAAATCTAGTTTTTGCCATGTGCCTGGTGATATGGTTTGGCTCTGTCCCCACCCAAATCTCATCTTGAATTGTAGCTCTCATAATTCCCATGTGTTGGAGGGACCCCCGTGGAGGTAACTGAATCATGGGGGTGGTTTTCCCCATACTGTTCTTGTGGTTGTGAATAAGTCTCATGAGATCTGATGGTTTTATAATGGGTTTCCCTTACATGACTGTGAGGCCTCCCCCGCCCCGTGGAACTGTGAGTCCATTAAGCCTCATTTTCTTTATAAATTCTCCAGTCTTTATCAGCAGCGTGAAAATGTACTAATGCACCTGGCATGGTGTTTGATGTTGTGGGGAGAGAGAAATGAATGAAACAGAGCCCCTGCCTTTGAGGAGTGCCCTGTCTAGGAGGGAAACATCAGCAAGAGTGATAAGATGGGACCTCTGCTATGCAGGGGCCTGTGCAAGGTGCTCTGGTACCATCAAGGGAGTCTGAGAGAGCCTTCACAGTGGTGGTGACCATGGGGGTCTGACACTGAGGGCTGCCAGCAACCCAGGAAGACAATGAGAAAGGCAGAGTGGGGCACACCGAACCACAGTCTCACTTATCCAAGACACATGGGTGACAGTGTCTAAAATTGGAACTGGGGGCTAAGAGGATTTGCCTTCCAGGTATGTACAGCCTGATTAGAGAGTTGGACCCACACTTAACCATAAAGTTATTTATTTGCTCACTGACACCACAGGGTGAGAGGTGTTCAGGTGAGATGTTGACTCTCCCACGTGGTTGTAGTTGAAACCTTTCTTCTCATAGTAAAATGGAAATTTCTGTCTGGGTTAATGGATCTTGAGGCATCTTTAAGGAGGTATTGGAGTGAGTGGGGGACTTGGAGCAGGAGGAGTTGTGGCTTTTGGCTCTCATTAGCAGGGGACAGCTTGTCAGTTTTGAAGGTGAGGTTGAGGCTGCTCTCCGGTATGATGTAAGTGTGCGTGTGTGTGAACCTGAACGTGAGTGTGCATGTGCATGTGTGTGTGCATGTGTGTGAATGTGTCGCATGTAAGCTGCCATGAAATATTTTCTTTTTATCTTCTCCAGCACTCAGCTTCATGTCTGGCACATTGCAGGTCTCTAATAAGTGGGTATTTAGTGTTGACTGCCTTCAGGACCTGGATGACAAAGGCATATTTGCTCCACAGGAAGGAGATGAGAGAAGGCATCTCAGCCCACAGTGTTAATAGCAGCAGCTCCATTTGTCAGCTCCAGACTCTTGGAGGCAGGTGCCCTGGTGTTCCCACTTGCTCTTGTCTTGGCACTGGGGAAGCTCTGAAAAGACCTGGCTGCTTGAGTTCCCTCATTCCATTCCCCCTAAACTCATCTTGGTCCACTTACTCTCGGCTCCTGGACCACTCTCATTCCTCAGTGCTTCTGCCCATGCAGTTTGTTCTACCTGGAAGGGGTCTCCTCCACCAGTAGAGAGCCCCTACTCGGCCTTCAAAGCTCATGCCAGATATCACCTCCTCTAGGAAGCCTTTCTTGATGCCCCTGACCTGGATCCCATGACTCTCCTCTGTGCCGCCCAAATATGCTGTCCTTCCAGTGCAGCATTGGACTGCAGTGGTGCTTGCTGTTGTGATCATTGCTTTACTTTCTTGTCTTTGCCACTAGATTGAGAGTTCCTTGAGGGCAGAGACTGTGTTTCGTTCATCTGTGAATTCCCAGAGCCCAGAATGTGGTCAGGATTTTAGATGTTACATTGTGCACATTTTCTCTGTAACAGGCACAGCTTTGCTTCTGTGAAGTGGGGAGCATGTCTAGAGCTCTGTGGTTCAAAGATTCTGGACACATTTGAAAGGTGAAAGAAGCCAGGACACCTGGAGCATTGCAAGCAACGAGCAGAGTGATGGAGATGAGGCTGGAGAGCAAGGCAGGAGCTGGGTCATGTGGTGCCTGGGAGCTGACAGGACCAGGAAGAGGATGTGAGTCTCCAATTCCTTTATGAATCTGCTGGCCAAGCAGAGAGCAGATTCGGTAATCGTAGATGCTGCTGCTTCTATCTCTTTTTCTAATATCTCAAGACATTCTAATTACTCCCCCTGCAGAGAGAGAGAGAGAGAGAGAGAGAGAGAGAAAGAGAGAGGAGAAACATATACAAGTGGTAGGAAAGGCTACTAATGATCAAGAGTGATGGGACAGCAATTGGGATTCTTAACTCTGGAAAGATCAAGACTGGCAGAGGATGGGATGAAACATTTTCAGTTATGAAAGATGGAGTGTATGTCAAAATCCTAACATCTTAGTCCTAAATCCCTCCTTCTCCTGCATCCCCATAAAACTTGACAGGAGATAATTTTAGGAGAACTGAAGGGAACCTACTTTACTCAATGAGTAGTATTAAATTCCTGCAACTCTCTATCTCCAATAGATATTGCACAGGTGGAACATATAAATAACCTCAAGAAGGGTTTACAAATTTCAAAGATTAAAGTTCCCTAATGAGCTGAAGAGTGGAGTTCAGTATTTTAGAGTGTTACCCTTAATTTGACACTCACCCAGTAAACAAGCTCCTTGCTGCTCTGGGCAGAATAGAATCTTCCAGATGTGACCATTTGTAATTCTCAGGCTCTTTGGCCGCACAGCACTGATGTTCATTGAGTGTTCTACTCTGCAGACAGGGTGGGGCATTTTGGGGTTGTCTGTTTTTGACTGTCCTTAAAAGATGTTCTCAACCCTTGGGGAAGAGTTTGTGCTGGGTTGTGTGAGCCACAGCTGCTGGGGAAGGAGAGCTGGGCTTGAGTGAGGAGACTTGGCTGGAGTTCCAGCACTATTTTTTCTTTTTTAATTGTGTTGAAATACTCCTAACACAAAGTCTGCTATTTTGACCCTTATTAAAGAGTAAAATTCAGTGGCACTTATTATATTCACAGTGCTGTGCGATCATCACCACCGTCTAGTTTCAAAACATTTTCAGCACCAAAACGGAAGCCCCATGCCCCTTAAGCAGTCACTCTCCATTCTTCCTGCCGCCAGCCCATGGCAACCAGTAATCTGCTTTTTATCTCTATAGGATTTCTAGGACTAATTTTACTTTCCAGGCCTGCCTTCCCCTCCAGCTGCATCTTGTTCTGTTCTCCCTTCTGATTTGGTCTTTGTCCATTTCTTTACAAATGCATGAGTTTTGGGATCATGGACTTGTGTGCATGCCAACACTCACTGGCCTTCACCTATGATCTGGATACAACATCCTTCCTGACTCCATCCCAGGTTCTGAGAACCTTCCTGGAATTGGCCTTCCAGACTGAGCCTTATGCTTGTACAGCTGGGCTGGGTTGGCCTGGTTCTGGGAGTGGAGGAGATGGAGATGTGTGTGGAAGTCCTTGGGAAACTATACAGTGCAGCACAGGGCTGGGAATGGTTACCTGCTCCAGGCAGGTGGTTCCTCCACAACACATAGCAACTGGCTGCCTTTGGAGTATAGACCAGGGGTCTCTCTCCAAGTAAGCAAAGACATGGGAGAGCCTAAAATGCAGTCAGTGGAGGTGAGCAGCTTCTGCCGAAGAGACCCGAGCGGGGAGTTTTACCAGCACATGGTCTTCATGGGTGTGGTTCTGGTGCGTTTCTCTTGGCCCATAGCTGAGAGGGCAGCAGAGTGGGAGTGGGGCTGTCTGCCAGGGCTGGGATCCTGGGACTGCTGCTGACTCCTACCCACTTCACAGGAGTGTCATGAGGACCAAAGGGTGTGTGTGACAGAGCTTGGGGAAGGCATAAATTGCTGTTGTACAAGTGTAAGGTAGGACATTTTTATACGGGTAATAATTGTGAAGTTTCTAGCTCTTGCCTGATATCTCCAGCCGGCATATGTGATTGATGTGAGGGGCTGGCCAGGAGCCTCAGAGTCTTTTACTCACTCTGTCATTCATGTGTTCACTCACTCATGCATTCTTCCACTCATTTATTCCTTTACTTATTCACTCACTCATGCATTCATTCATGAATTTATTCATTAATTCACTCACTCACTAACATTTATTCACTCATTCATTCATTCACTCATTTATTCACTTATTCCTTCACTCACTAACTCATTTATTCATTCACTCACTAATTCATTTATTTATTCATTCACTTACTTGCTAACTTTTATTCACTCATTCATTCACTCGCTCACAGACTCATTCACTCACTAACTCATTTGTTCACTCTTTCAGTCACTAATTCATTCACTCACTCACTCATTCATTTACTTACTTGCTGACTCTTTTATTCACTCTCTCATTCATTCACTCATTCATTTATTCACTCACCCACTCATTTATTCACTCACTCGCTGAATCTTTTATTCACTCATTCATTCATTAATTCACTTACTAACTCATTTACTCATTCATTCATTCACTCAGTCACTAAGTCATTCGGTCACTAAGTCATTCACTCACTCGTTCATTTACTCACTTGTTCACTTTTTTATTCACTCATTCATTCACTCACTTGCTGAATCTTTTATTCACTCATTCATTCATTCACTCACTTGCTGACTCTTATTCACTCATTCGTTCTTTCCTTGCTCATGGTTTAGATCTGCACTGTCCAATATGGCAGCCACTAGCCATGTGTAGTTGTTGAAAGCTTGAAATGTGGTTGTCTCAAATGAGATGAGCCATAAATGTAAAATACATACTGGATTTTGAAGACTTATAATAAATATTTTTAAAAATATTGATTACATAGTGAAATGATAGTATTTTGGATATGGGTAATAAACATGTATTATAAAATTAATTTCATCTATTTCTTTTTACTTTTTAAAAATGTGACTACTAAAATGTTAAAAATTTCCTACATTGCCTACATTATATTTCTATTGTACAAACCTGGTTTAGCCATATCTATTTCTCTGAAGGACAGGAGAGTGTGAGACTGACTTCTCTTGGTTAAAAAGTGGCACAGTCTGGCATCTGTGTCTTTGAATAATATCATGGAGAGAGTGAGGCTGGCCTTCAAGTTCCACACATAGGGACTGAGCAACCCAAACCGTGAATGGAGAATGTAATTACAATCCTCTCCTGAGGGACTGAGCACAACGTTTATGATTGATAAAGGCACTAAAGCTGTTGATTATTTATGTTTGCTGGTTTGTACTTCAGTGCCTCTCAACAGTGCAGGAATAGGAACCAAATAAATTACCCAGTGATCTGGGAATTCATGTAACCCATGAATTGGGTATGCTATGTGTGAGTACGTGTGCACATTTTAATGAGATGCAATTTTGTTTCAATTTGGCAAATCCCAAAAGCTCTTCTGCTTTGTTTTCTCTGATTCCAGCCTAACAGCTTTGGGGGTGGTAGCATATGGGGAGATGAAATGAAAACTTTCAGGCACAATCACTCTGAAAACTTTCTGGTGTTTTCTTCACTGGGAACTTTCTACCACCTCTATACCAGGTGTCAAGCCCTCTTTAGAACTGTTGGCTTCGGTCTTGAGTTGTCTATGGTCTTCATCCCCCATAGTAGGCCTTCAGTACAGCACACAGTCAAACCAGAGTGCAAGCCCTGGGCACAAAATGAGGAAAGCTCAGGGTCCAAGTAAATTACAGACACAGTCTCAGTATTTGAGAGGCTATAATGTAGAGTGGAAGAAGCTGGGTACTACACAGGATTCTGCACACGTGCTTTGGCACAATATTCATTCAACAGGTGTATATTGGACACAAGCTCTCTGCTAGGTGCTGAAGAAATTAAAATGAATAAAGTTTGCTTCTGGCTCTCAAAACATTTTGGTGGATGAGAAAATTGTTTAAAAGCAAAGTGCCGCCTGGACACAGTGGCTCATGCTTGTAATCCCAGCATTTTGGGAGGCTGAGGTGGGTGTATCACCTTAGGTCAGGAGTTTGAGACCAGCATGGCTAACATGGCGAAATCCCATCTCTACTAAAAATAATAATAAAAAAAAGCCAGGCATGGTGGAGCACACCTGTAGTCCCAGCTACTCTGGAGGCTGAGGCAGGAGAATCCCTTGAACCTGGGAAGCGGAGGTTGCAGTGAGCCGAGATTGCACCACTGCACTCCAGCCTGGGTGACAGAGTAAGACGCCATCTGAAAGAAAAAAAAAAGCAAAGCGCAGTTTGCTCAGTACACTTCTGAGAGGATAGAGCAGATATACTTTGCCCTATTCTCCCTAGTAAGTACAATGAAAAATCCTGGATACTGTACATAAGAAAAATAATGAGACATTAAAAGGTTGAAGAAAGGCACACTGCTAGAGATCAAGAAAAGAAGAAATGACAGGATGATGATGAGTTCCCTGGGTTTTCTTTTGGTCTTGTATATCCCAGACATGGAGATAAAGAAACTGGCAACTCAGAATGCCAACAGGTGCAAGAAAAAGAAAAAGACCCAACAAAAGCCTGTTTATTCTAGCCAAAGGACTGGGAAAGAGAACAATTAACAAGACAGAAAACTTTTGGACAACAACTACTTGCTATAGTTTGGATGTTTGTCCCTCCAAACCTCATCTTGAAATTTGATCCCCAGTGTCAGAGTGCGGGTGCCTAATGGGAGGCGTTTGGGTCATGGTAATGGATCCCTCATGAATAGATTAACGGCCTCCCTAGGGCAGCGGGAGTGACTGAGTTATCACTCTTATTGTTTCTTGAGAGAACTGGTTGCTGAAAAGAACCTGTCACCTCCCTGCTCTCCCTTGCTTCCTCTCCTGCCCCATGATCTCTGCACACACCAGCTCTCCTTCCCCTTCCACCATGACTGGAAGCAGGCTTTAACCCTCACCAGAAGCAGATGCTGGTGCTCTGCTTCTTGTACAGCCTGCAGAATTGTAAGCCAAATGAACCTCTTTTCTTTATAAATTACCAAGCCTCTGGTATTCCTTTACAGCAACAGAAAATGGACTAAGACAGAAAATTGCTGCCAAGGAGTGGGGTGTTGCTGTAAAGATACCTAAAATGTGGAAGTGGCTTTGGAGCTGAACAATGTGCAGAGGTTAGAAGAGTTGGAGGGCTCAGAAGAAGATAAGAGAGGGAAAGTTTGGAACTTCTTGGAGATTCGTTTAGTGGCTGTGACCAAAATCCTGATAGAAATATGGACAGTAAGTTTCATGCTGGCGAGGTCTCAGATGAAAACGAGGGATTTCCTAGGGACTGGAACAAAGGTCACCCTTGTTATGCTACAGCAAAAAACTTGGCTGCATTGTGTCCATGCCCTAGGGATTTGTGGAATGGCATTGAAATAAGAAATTAAATACCATTTCTGATCCCCCCAAAAGGTAATATTTAGGTTGTAAATCTAAGAAAACATATACAGGATTGATATGCTGAAAAGCACAAATGCTAATGAAATTAATTAAAGATCTAAATCGAAGGAAAGACATATCATGTTCATGAATTGGAAGATTCAACATAATAAACATATCAATTCTCCCCAAATTGATATATAAGCTTAATGCAATTCCTATAAAAATTTTGGCAAGGGTTTTGTAAATATACACAAAATTATTCTAAAATTTATATGAAAATGCAAAAGAACTAGAATAGCCAAAGAAGTTTGAATAAAAAAGAATAAAATATGAGGAATTAATGTGTCTGATTTCAAGATGTATTATATAGGCACAGTCATGAAGATTGTGTGGTATTGGTTGGGGGATGGACTCATAGATAGAATAGAGAACTCAGAAATAGACCCCCATAAATAGGCCCAACTGATTTTTGACTAAAGCGCAAAAGCAATTCAATGGAGGAAGGATAACCCTTTCAACAAATGGTGCTGGCACAATTTGATAGCTATAGGAAAAAAAACTAAACCTAGACAAAAATCTCACCCTTTATACAAAAATTAACCCAAAACGAACTATGAATTTGAATGTAAAATTTAAAATTTTAAAACTTAAGGCCAGGCACGGTGGCTGATGCCTGTAATCCTAGGACTTTGGGAGGCCAAGGCAGGCGGATCTTGAGGTCAGGAGTTCGAGACCAGCCTGACCAACACGGTGAAACCCCGTCTCTACTAAAAATACAAAAATTAGCCAAGTGTGATGGTGCATTCCTGTAATCCCAGCTACTCAGGAGGCTGAGGCAGGAGAATCACTGGAACCCGTGAGGCAGAGGTTGCCGTGAGCTGAGATCACGCCACTGCGCTCCAGCCTGGGCAACAGAGCAAGATTCCATCTCAAAACAAATAAATTTAAAAAAAATCATAGGAGAAAATATTTGGGAACTAGAGCCAGGCAAAGAATTCTTACACTTGACATCCAAAGCACAATCTATAAAAGGAAATATTGATAAGTTGAACCTCATCAAAATGGAATACTGCTCTGCAGCAGACCCCATGAAAAGGATGAAAAAGAGAAGCTACAGGCTGGGAGAAAATATATGGAAAGCATACATATAACAAAGACTAGTATCTATAATACAGAAATAATTCAAAGCTCAATAGTAAAAAAAAACCCCATACAATTCAATTAAAAATGGGCAAAAGATGTGAGCAGGCGTTTTACCAGGAGGATATACGTATCAAAATAGATGAAAAGATGTTCCACTTTATTAGCCATTAGGAAAGTCTAAATAAGAACCACAATGAGATGAGATGTCACTACATACTTATCAGAATGGCTAAAATAAAAAATAGTGACAACAGCAAATGCTGATGAGAATGCAGGAAAACTGGCTCACTCATACATTGTTGGTAGAAATGTGAAATGGTACAGCCACTTGGGAAAAATGTTTGGCAGTTTCTTTTTTTTAAATTTTATTATTATTATACTTTAAGTTTTAGGGTACATGTGCACAACGTGCAGGTTTGTTACATATGTATACATGTGCCATGTTGGTGTGCTGCACCCATTAACTCATCATTTAGCATTAGGTATATCTCCTAATGCTATCCCTCCCCCCTCCCCCTCCAACAAGAGTCCCCAGTGTGTGATGTTCCCCTTCCTGTGTCCATGTGTTCTCATTGTTCAATTCCCACCTATGAGTGAGAACATGCGGTGTTTGTTTTTTTGTCCTTGTGATAGTTTGCTGAGAATGATGTTTTCCAGTTTCATCCATGTCCCTAGAAAGGACATGAACTCATCATTTTTATGGCTGCATAGTATTCCATTGTGTATATGTGCCACATTTTCTTAATCCAGTCTATCGTTTTTGGACATTTAGGTTGGTTCCAAGTCTTTGCTACCATTCAGGACATAGGCATGGGCAAGGACTTCATGTCTAAAACACCAAAAGCAATGGCAACAAAAGCCAAAATTGACAAATGGGATCTAATTAAACTAAAGAGCTTCTGCACAGCAAAAGAAACTACCATCAGAGTGAACAGGCAACCTACAGAATGGGAGAAAATTTTTGCAACCTACTCATCTAACAAAGGGCTAATATCCAGAATCTACAATGAACTCAAACAAATTTACAAGAACAAAACAAACAACCCCATCAAAAAGTGGGCAAAGGATATGAACAGACACTTCTCAAAAGAAGACATTTATGCAGCCAAAAAACACATGAAAAAATGCTCATCATCACTGGCCGTCAGAGAAATGCAAATCAAAACCACATTGAAATACCATCTCACACCAGTTAGAATGGTGATCATTAAAAAGTCAGGAAACAGGTGCTGGAGAGGATGTGGAGAAATAGGAACACTTTTACACTGTTGGTGGGACTGTAAACTAGTTCAACCATTGTGGAAGTCAGTGTGGTGATTCCTCAGGGATCTAGAACTAGAAACACCATTTGACCCAGTCATCCCATTACTGGGTATATACCCAAAGGATTATAAATCATGGTGCTATAAAGACACATGCACACATATGTTTATAGCGGCACTATTCACAATGGCAGTTTCTTAAAAAAGCAAACATGCAACTACTATACAATCTAAGATTTGTACTTTTAGGCGTTTATCCCAGAATGAACATTTATGTCCATGCAAAAACCTGTATATGTTTGTTCATAGCAACTTTATTCGTAATAGTCCCAAACTGGAAACAACCCAGATATCCTTCAACAGATGATTAAACTATGGCATATTCACAACATGGAATACTACTCAGCACTAAAAAAGAACATCTACTGATACACGCAACAACTTGGATTCATCTTCAGAGAATTATGCTGAGTGAATAAAAAACAGTCCCCAAAAGTTACACACTGTACGAGTCCATTTTACAACATCATTGTAATGACAAAATTACAGAAATGGAGAACAAATGAGTAGTTCAAAGGGCTAAGGGAAGTGGATGTGTCTATATCAGGGCAACACGAGGGATCCTTGTGGGGATAGAAATGTTCTGTATCTTGATTGTGTCAATGAAAATATTCTGGTTGTGATAGTGTACTGTAGTTTCATAAAAGATGTTACCATTGATAGGAACTGTTCCCTTGTGAAAGGTACTTGAGATCTCTTTGTATTCTTACAACTGTATGTGAATCCATAATGATCTGAAAATGAAAAGTTTAATTAAAGAAAATAAATATAATTCAGTTTATTAAGTGCTATTACGGAGTTATATAAAAAATGCTCTGGGAGTCCTGGGAATGAATCAATTATTTCTTCATGGAGAATTTGGTAAAGGTTTCACAGAGCCATCAACAAATGAGCAATGTCTTAAAAAGATAATTTTTACCCCTCATCTTTCATGTGACTTCATCTTTCTACTGAATTCTTTTGTGTTGTCTCCACTGTTTACTTATTGATAGCTTATTAAGGCTAGGGGCTGTGCTAAGTGACACAGTTTTAAATATTTCATACAATAATCCTGGGAGGCAGGTACTATTATTTATTGATAAGGAAACTGCTTTGAGAGGTTCAGACTCTTTACAAAGTTCACTCAGAGGGTAAGGGGTGGAACCAGATTTCAAACTCTGGTCTGTCTCAGACCACTACTTAGGTGGGCACTGAGAGTCATCTTTTTGTTATTTGTTTGTTTGTTTGTTTTACTTGTTCTCTGCTTTTCTGCCTCATTTTCCTGCCCCCTTTGGGGTTAATAAAGTATTTTAAAATATTTCATTCTATCTTCTCCTAGCATTATAGCTACATCTCTCTCTCTCTATATTTTGAAAGTTTATTGTCCAGCACTTTGGGAGGTTGAGGCAGGCAGATCACTTAAGGTCAGGAGTTTGAGACCAGCCTGGCCAACATGGTGAAACCCCACCTCTACTAAAAATACAAAAGAAATTAGCCGGGCATGGTGGTATATGCCTACAGGCTACTCGGGAGGCTAAGGCATGAGAATCGCTTGAGCCTGGGAGGCAGAGACTGTAGTGAGCCGAGATCATGCTACCGCACTCCAGCCTGGGTGACAGAGTGAGACTCTGTCTTAAAAAAAAAAAAAAATTATTGACTAGAGATTATAATGTACCTCTTTAACTTAATCACTGTCTCTCTGAAATTGTTATACCATTCTTGGTTTAATGTCAAAATTAAAGTATAATTCCATTTACCACATGATGTTCTTTGTTCTATTGTCACATATTTAATTCTACATATTTTATAAACACCAGGATATTTTTTTATTACTTCAGTCCATTTTCTTTTAAAGACTCTGAGAAAAAAATAATTAAAAAATTTATCCATACACAGTTATGAATTGCATATATGATGGTGGTCCCATAAGATTGTAATATTGTATTTTTACTGTACCTTGTCTATCTTTAGATAGGTTTAGATACACAAACACTTATCATTGTGTTACAATTGGCTACAGTATTCAATACAGTAACATACCGTATAGGTTTGTAGTGTAGGAGCAATAGGATATGTCATACTGCTTAGGTGTATAATAGGCTATACCATCTAGGTTTATGTAAGTACACTCTCTGAGGCTCTCGCAATGACACAATTGCCTAACCATTTCATGCATTTCTCAAAACATATCCCCATCATTAAGTGATGCATGAATGTATTGATAATTTTCAGCGTTCTTCATTCCTTCCTGTATTTCCAAATTTCCATCTCGCATAATTTCTATTGAGCCCAAATAACTTCGGTTAGCATTTCTTGTGGTGTGGGTCTGTTGGTAATGAATTCTTTCTACTTTCAGTGATCTGAAAATGCCTTTACGTTACTTTTTGTTTTGAAGGATATTTTCGCTGGATGTAGAATCAAGATTGAAGTTTCATTTTGTTTTGTTTTCCCTTCAGCATTTTAAAGATATGCTTCTGTTGTTTTCTGTTCTCTATTGTTTGTGGTGAGAAGTCAGCTGTTATTTTTGTTGCTGTTCTCCTCCATGGAATGTGCCTTCTTGGGCTTTGTTGGAGATTTTTTTTTCCTTTGTCTTTATTGTTTCAGCATTTTGATTTTTGATATATCTCAGTGAGGTTTTCTTTATATTTTCTTTTCTGGGTGGGTTTTGCTGAGCTTCTTGGATCTATGTTTGTCTTATTTGTATTTGGAAAATTTTTTCCTAATATTTTGTCATTTTTTCTGACAAAAATTTTGAATGAAGACAAGGTCAGCGTTATTGATTTTTTTCCCCAGTTTCAGCAAGGCTTAGTATAGCGTCGTTATTGATCTTGCCCTTATTTTAAATTTTGGTAGTTTGTACATCATGGATTTCTTTTGCATTAATTTTGATTTGTTAAAATACTGCCTTATTGTATTATATTGATTGCCCAGTTTTTCTGGCACCTCCTTAAATTTTACACTCAAGGCAAGTGCCTCACTCATTTCATCTTAGTCCCAGCTTTTTCTTCTAGTTATTGAAAAGTTCTGCTAATTCTATCATGCATGTTGTCTTTGGGTCTATTTCTATCGACTATTTTTTCTTGATGATTTGTCATATTTTTGTATTCTCTTGCATTTCCAGTAACATTTAATTATATATAGGGCATTATGGATGATATAATCTAGAGATCCTGGGTTCTGTTTTTTTACTCTGAAGAGTGTTAGGTTTTGTTCTATAAAGCAACTGAATTCCTGCAGATCACCTCAAATTGTGGAGGTTTGATTTTAGGCTCTGCTGGGTTGGCTCTGTTTCAGTTTTCCCCTAGGTTTAAGGCTCAGATATTGTCACTAGTCCTAAGGTCTGGCCCTTCTTGCGTTTCAGTAGAAAGCCTTCTGGGGTTTACCAAAAATCTCTAACTTTGGTGAGGTTTTAACCCTGAACTCTGTTCCCTCAGCATGAGGCAGCTAATGAAATATCTTCTTAGCTATTTTAGCCTTCTGTTTACAGCTTTCTGGATTTCTTAGTACCTCACTCAATCCATGAGCAGTCCAGAAGTGAGGCAGGATCCTGAGAGCAGTGTGTTTGCATATTTTGTGTCCCTCCCCCGAAAATGGCTCACTCTTTTCTGAGATATGACCTGTGATTTTCTAGCCACTTAGACAACTCTACATTCCGATCTCTGACTTTCAGTGATTGACAGCCCAGTAAGGCTGTTGCTTTCTGCTTGATCTCTGTGTACCATGTGTCATACAGACTGGGCATGCCTTCAGGGGAAAAACCAATTACATGTGGATCTTACCTAGTTTGTTTACTGCTGTGAGTTGAATTTTGTCCCCCAAAATTCTTATGTTAAAGTCTTAACCCATACCTCAGAAAGCGATCTTAATTGGAGAAAAACACTTTACAAGGTTATCAAATTAAAATGAGGTCATAGGGTGGACCTAACCCAGTATGACTGGTGTCCTGAACAAGTGGGAGATTTTGACACAGAGACACATGCACAAGGAAAGCTCCATGTGCAGATGAAGGCAGAAATTGGAGTTGCTTCTGCAAGCCAGAAAACCACCAGAAGCTAGGGGAGAGGCATAGGGCAGACACTTCATTACAGCCTTGAGAGGGACCAATACTGTCAGTACCTTGATCTTGGACTTCCAGCCTCTGAAACTGTGACATAATACATTTCTGCTCTTTAAGTCACCTAGTTTTATGAGCTGAATATTTGTGTCCCCCCACCCCTGCCCAAATGTATATGTTGAAATCTTAACTCCCAGTGTGATGAAATTAGAAAGTGGGACCTTTGGGAGGTAATTAGGTCATGAGGGTGGATCCTCATGACTGGGATGACTGGGATTAGAGCCCTTATTAAGGAGATCTTAGAGGCCTCTCATGCCCTTTTCTGCCACGTGTGGATACAACTAGAAGTTGGCACTTTATAATCTGGAAGCAGGGCCTCACCAGAACCCAACCCTGCTGGCACCCTGATCTCAGACTTCCAGCCCCCAGAACAGCAAGAAATAAATTTCAGTTATTTGTAGCCACCCAGTCTAGGGCACTTTGCTATGGCAGCCTGAACTAAGATACCCAGTTTACCAAACTGCTCTACCTGCTATAGTAAGCCAATATACTCTCCTTCATGAGATCATATCCTCTCTAGTTTCTCCTTGCTTTGGCCACCCCCAAGTTCCTAAAACAGGTTTTAAAAAATATATATGTTGTCTACAGTTAATAATTTTTATGGGCATAGGTGTTAGTCCAATATTAGCTACTCTATTAATTACCACAAGCTTGAAGTTCATGGGCTAACTTTTCCGTCTCTCTTGAGTCAATGCTTGGCTGCCTGTGATATAGTTTGGATGTTTCTCCCTCCAAATCTCATGTAGAGATGTCACCCCTAATGTTGAAGGTGGGGCCTGGTGGGAGGAGTGTAAGTCATAGGGACAGATTCCTCATGAATGACTTGGTACCATCCTCATCATAGTGAGTGGGTTCTCCTGAGATCTGGTTGTTTAAAAGTGTGTGGCACATCTCCCTCTCTCTTGTTGCTGCTCTCACCTTGTGAGATGCCTGCTCCCCATTCTGCCTTCTGCCATGATTGTAAGCTTTCTGAGGCCCTCACCAGAGGCACATGCTGGCACCATCCTTCTTGTACAGCCTACAGAACCGTAAGCCAATTAAACCTCTTTATAAGTTACCCAGCCACAGGTATTTTTCTTTCTTTCTTTCTTTCTTTCTTTCTTTCTTTCTTTCTTTCTTTCTTTCTTTCTTTCCTTCCTTCCTTCCTTCCTTCCTTCCTTCCTTCCTTCCTTCCTTCCTTCTTCCTTCCTTCCTTCCTTCCTTCTTTCTTTGTTTTTGTTTGTTTGTTTGTTTGTTTATTTGTTTCTTTCTTTCTTTCTTTCTTTCTTTCTTTCTTTCTTTCTCTTTCTTTCTTTCTTTCCTTTTTCTTTTCTTCCTTCCTTCCTTCCATCTTTGTTTCTCTTTCTTTCTTCTTTTTCTTTTCTTCCTTCCTTCCTTCCATCTTTCTTTCTCTCTCTCTCTCTCTCTTTCTTTCTCTCTCTCTCTCTCTCTCTTTTTTTTGACAGAGTCTTGCTCTGTGGCCCAGACTGGAGTGCAGTGGTATGATCTTGGCTCATTGAGACTTCCACCTCCTGGGTTCAAGCTGTTCTCTTGCTTTAGCCTCCCAAGTAGCTGAGATCACAGGTGCATACTACCATTATTGGCTAATTTATGTATTTTTAGTAGAGATGGGGTTTTGCCATGTTGGCCAGGCTGATCTCGAACTCCTGACCTCGGGTGATCCGCCCGCCTCAGCCTCCCAAAGTGCTGGAATTACAGGAATGAGCCACTGCACTCAGCCTCCAGCCTCAGGTATTTCTTTATTGCAACACAAAAATGGTGTAACATAGCCTGCAATCCAGTTACGTTTACCCCTGAATCCAGTCCAGCATCTCAGACACCACCCTAAGGTCTGGTGTCCCACCCTCCGATGATCTAAGAGAAGAACTAGGACAACATCAAGGGTCTTCTGTGGTCTCATAGCAGCTAATTGGTTATGGCTGTTCTTAGAATTGCCTAGGTAAAACCCATGTTTTCCCTTTACTGGGAGTTGTTTCACGGGACTTCAGTTGGGCCACTATTCAAGTACTTGTGAAGATGGAAGGCTGCTTACAGTTACCTATAAGAAGCTTGACCCCACCCACAGGTGCCTCTGCAATCCGCTTCCATGCAGGAGTGTGGGATTTGTGTGTGCATGTGCATGCATGTAGGTGTATTGAGGGGAGCTAGGGAGCTCTCCATTTGGGTAAGAATACAAAGCAAGTTCTTTGTGTTTACTAATATTTCAATTTTCTTTAAAATAGATGGCTCCCTTTCAGTCAACAATTGAGCATATCTGTAACTTGGGGCACTTACCTGTCATTTAAATCTTCTGAAAGCAGCCTGACAAGGACCTTGGGGAGTTAGTCCACAGGACATTAACCGTCAATTATTCTGGGTTCTCTAAGTGTACTCTCTCTCTACCAAGTTCTATTACCAGGAAGACATATGCTATACTACATTATTTTAGCTTCCCATAGAAATGTCTTTTCAGAAAACGGTGATCTAATATTATGCTTTCAGTTTCCATCTAGTGTTGATAAAAGAAGCAGTGATATGAAGAGTACTCTGCAACTTTTGTATAACTGCTGTTGAAGATACTGTTCATTATGTTGTTCAATATCTTATACAGAGGCCTAGGAGAATGGCTCTCATTTTTTTCTTTTTAATCACGGAATCCGTTCTTCAAATAAAAGCTTATGTGGAAACGTAATACCTGTAATAGATTAATATGGTTAAATGGAAACTGGAGTCCCTTGGCCCTTGTCTTTTCTCTCCTTCTGCATTTATTTTTTTTTTATCTCCTTACCCACCACCTCACACACCCCTGCTCAATTCCTTGTTAAAGGTCTCATAGCATAAAAATCACTAGTGCTAGTCTAAGGTAGATGTTTTTCTGGGAATTCACTACATGGACAAGATTTGTCTCATCTGACAAATAGTTGTGTTCATTTTGATATAACCCAGATTTGTAACTCAATGTATTTCTCTTCTTGCCTTGGATGCAAGGAAATTCAGATAAATTAGGGGCTCAAAATGCAGTATTTCTTGACTATTATTTGTAAACATAGCTAAAAATGGCTGTCTCCCACTTTTTTTTTTTTTGCAACGGAAGATAATAGAGGGTTGAATTTATTATATTTCCCAGTTCCAGGTACATTATCATTACTGGTTCAGACAAGGCCCCTCTGTTGTAAACATAAAGGTGTGTATGTATATGTTTATTTATCCTCCTTTATCCATAAACTCTATTTTTATTCCTATTTCCCCTACCCTGTAGGCAGCCATATTCTAATGGATTTAATATATGTTAAGCTCTGTTCCTGAAACTGTGTATTGTTTTTTATGCACACACATACACACACATTGTTTCATACATTCTTCACCATCCACATTGCTATATATAAGTATAACCTACTGCTTTCAACTGCTGCATAGTACCCTATGGTGAATAATTACAACATAGCATATGTCTTCCTTCCCAGTGATGTGCACCCAGGTTGACTCCTACTACTGGCTACCACAAATAACACTGCAAAGAGATCTTTATATATGTGCCCTTGTGACTGTATAAGAATTTATCTGGGATATGTAGATATAGAAGTAGAATTTGGGGGCCATAACATGTGTTTATATTGAATATGACTATGTACTGGCAGATTGTGCAGTCCAATGGCTACACCCATCCACACTCCCACCAGCAGTGCAAGAAGGTTCCTGCTTCTTTAAATCCCCAGTGACTCTTGGCATTATTCAATTTTCTTACATTTTCCAGTCTGTATTTTTTTGTTTTCTTAATTTGCATTTTTCTTATTCTTAATTATTTTGAGCAGATAGTCATATGCTTGTTTTGGATTATTTTTTCATTTTTCCTTCTATAAATTACCTGCTTGTATCTGTTGCCCATTTTTCTGTTGAGATTCCCATCTTTTTATTGTTGATTTTCAAGAGTTCTTTTATATTCTGAATTAGCTTTGTCCAAAAGAAATACAATGTGAGGTACACACATACAAATTAAAATTTAAAGATTAAAAAGAAACCAGTGAAATTATTTTTAAAAATATATTTTATTTAATCTATTTTATTTACCCCAATATATGTAAAATATGATCATTTTAATATAAAGCCAACCAGTTTTTGTAGTAATAAGTCCTCAAAAATCTCAGGTGATCTGCCTGCATCACCCTCATGAAGTGCTGGGATTACAGGCCAGCTGCCTTAATTTTATCATTTAACTTTTTCCTCTGTTTTAAGTAGTCCTAGTTTGTATACTACAAAAAGTAGTTTTTCATAGAGAATCTCTATTTTTCTGTGTCTCTCTCTCTTAGAAGTTCACATATAAAATTTCTGTGGCGAAAGTTCTTTATATTGGCTTGTAAGAGCTTACACCTCTTGGAAAATAAAATTATACAAATCATGATCTCTGCTTCTGGCTAAAGAAACAAGGTCCTGACTTATACACTTATCTGAAACAAATGGAAAAAAGGAAAAAATACTATATGTATGTGTGTATGTACGTGTATATATACACAGAAACATACATATATGTATGGAGGAATGTATACATACATACATACGTACACATCTACACATATGTGTGCATGTGATATAAAACCACAGTTTTCAAGACTGGACATAAGATCAGGCAACAGCAAACCTTGAGAGATGGGAAACAGATGACATAATATCGATTGTTTCCCCAGGTTACCACCTGAAGAGAGATTTCAGGCCGTAGCAGAGAGAGAAGAAAACCACATGGAACCCAGGGTTTTCCCTGAGTTGAGAATTTGAAGCTGGGATCTGGGGGATATCAAGGAAGCTGGGCCGGGGCAATTTCCAGAGAGAAAAGAGTGTGTGTGTGGCGGGGTGGGGCTGTGGGGAGAGTGGGAGAATGAACGTGCATGTATGCAAACATATGGATGGTGTGCTTCAAAGTTGGGGAGGAGTGAGGGAAAGAGAAAGCTCTGTGGATTTCAGTAGGTCACTCATAAGTCTTCAGCTGAGTACTGGTCAGCACACCTGAATGAGAAAACAATTGAAGCTGGAGAAGGAATGACCCGAAGAGATCAGAACAAGCAATATCAAAGCCCACACAGGGCCAGAATTAGTCTTGTTCCCACCAGAAACAGTAAAAAATAAACAACACCACCACATACACACACACACACACACACACTCACACACACACACACACCCCCCACAAACTATTCTACCCAATTCATTGAGCATAAGGTAGTATATTCAGAAGACCTTTAATTCATTCATGGGAAAAAATTATACCTATACTAAAAATTGGTCTGGTACTGCCTAATAAAAGTTGACGGCAATACTTAGAAGATTCAAACTATTTTTATTTAACATACCTTCATTTTAGAAAATGACTCAATAGTATTTATTGGAATGTGAAAATATACACCCAACCATGAAAAGTTCACAATGATTAATACCCAATACAGACTTACTAGGCATGCAAAGAAGCAGGAAAATAGAAGCTACAATAATAAGAAATATCAATCTATCTAAATTGACTCCTGAACAACACAGGTGTTAGCATTAATAGATAGAGACATTAATACACTTAGCATATTTTATCTACGTATTCAACAAGGTAGAAGAAAATTTCAGAATGTTCATTAGAGACATGCAAGATAAAAAGAGTTCCAAATTGAAGTTCTAGAGATAAAGACTATAATGTCTAATATGAACAGCACCCCAGATACAAATAACAGAATGGGCATTACAGAATAAAAAATTTATGAACCTGAAGATATCAAAATGAAACACACGAGAAAAAAACTGAAAAAAAAGTTTCATTTCAGTGAGCTGTGGGACAATTTTAAGCTGTCTAATATACATGTAATTGTAGTCCATAAAGGAAAATAGGAGTGGGAGGGAAAAGACAAACAAAATTGAAGCAATGATAGCCAAAAAATCCCCAAATTTGATGAAAACTATAAACCCATAGATCCAAGAAGCTCAATGAAATCCTAGCATCAGAAATATGAAGAAAGCTACAGCAAAGCACATCATAATCAAATTCATTAAAACCAGTGGTAAAGAGACAATCCTTAAAGCAGGCAAGGGCAAAAAAGACACATTACATACTGAGGAATAAAGATGAGGATGACAGCAGACTTCTTGTTGGAGACAACTTAAGCCAGAAGCCAGTGAAATACTATTTTACAGTACATGGGAAAAATCTTTCATATTTAGGATTCTAAATCAAGTGAAAATATTTGTCAAAAATACAAGGAATATAAAGACTTCTTCAGACATACAACAGCTGGAGGAATTAATTATCAGCAGATCTGCACTACAAGAAATGTTAAAGGAAATCCTTTGGGCAGAAGACAAATGATACCAGTTCAATATCTGGATCTACAGAAAGAAATAAACAGTAGTAGAACTGGTAATTACAGTGATAAGCATAAAAGTAGGTTTTCTTATTATTTAAATATCTTTAAATGTAATTTATTGTTTAATGCAAAAGTAATAACAATGTACTGTGTAGTTTCTCAAATATGTAGAAATAAACTATGAACAAATATTGGGAGGAGAGCATAAAAGTGTGCTTTTTTATGATTTTAATACCATATATGAACTTTTTTTCTCAGTTAATGTAACTGTCTTTGTAGAAAATCCTACAGGATTTACACAAAAGCAACAATGCAATATAGCCTTGTCCAGATTATAAATACTTTCTCAGATTATTAAATACTTATAACATCATTTTCAATGACCGTATACATTGTACTAAATTGAATTGTCTTTTCATTATTGGATATTGTGGTTGTTTTAGAATTTCCTATTATTGTTATTATTGCTGCAGTGAACATATCTATTAGTTTAATTTTATTCACCTCTTGTTATTTTACATTGTGCAAATCACCAATAATTAAAGTGGAATTGATGGATATTTTAAAAGTTGTGGTATGTTTTATAAAATTGTGATCAAGGCATGTTGTCCTAACTTCCATATTAAAAATAATCTCCAATGTAATAGGTAGTAAGTAGTATCCTATTATTTTAATTTGCACTCCTTTGCAAAGACTATCTTTTCTCCATTGTGTTGCCATTGCTCCTTTGTTAAAGATCTGATGACTAAATTTGTGTAGGTCTATTTCTACATTCTCCCCTCTGTTCCATTGATCAATTTGCCCATCGTCTTGACTAATGTAGCCTTATAGTAAGTCTTGAGGTCAGGTAGTTTCAGTCCTTTGACTTTGTTCTTCTCCAATTTCGCATTGGCCATTTTGGGTCTTCTACCTCTCCATATAAACTTTAGAATCAGTTTGTCAATATCCACAAAGCAAGTTGATGGGATTCTGATTGAGACGGCATCGAATCTAGAGATCAAGTTGGAAAGAATTGATTTTTTGACAATAAAGTCTTCCTATCCATGAACATGGAACATCTCTTCATTTAGTTTTTGATTTCTTTTATGAGAATTTTGTTTTATCAGGTGTGTTTTAGAAAAATGCTTGCTATTTCTTTCAAACACCAGAATCCCATTTAGTGTAGTAAGATGCTCATGCCAGGAGATGTGTAAGGAGGTTGACAGCCCATTCTTTCCTCACTCAAAGGGATGTGATAACTGAATGTAAGGATGGGTAGAATCACTCACACTTAAAAAATTTGCTCTTTCTCTCTGCCTTTTTGTAGAATCTGAATGATTGCATGCATCTGAGTTAAATGTGTTTATAATGTGACTCTATTGTATGCAGCCATTAAGCCATCCCTTAATCATTTCATGCTCATAGAAAATGGTATGCATTTACTCCAGGACTCTTTCCCACAGAACCTGGAATTCAGAACCCTTCTCAACTCAGAGCCCATCCCAGGAAGCTGTTAACCAGTCATTGCGAGTTGTCATGGATGTGGGTACCTGATTGTCATTCATGAACTATATCAATGCTGCCTATTTTCAAAAATATATTTGAAGCATTAAAAAAATCAGTCACTAGAAAGATGTAATTAGACACTATTATTCTAAATATCATAGGCAGTATTAGCCTAGTCTCCCAACCCCTTAAATTGAAACCCTGTGTCTGTATGAAAACTGGGCCCAGGGCCCAGCTTGCCTGTGGGGGAGTACTGCAGGCCAGGCCCAGGTGGAGAGAGAGATGGCGAGTGTGGGTGGCCTTCATGAGCTGTATTGACAAAGTGTGGCTTTGTTGACTGGAGAGAAGGGCTTTGATTTCCTTTCTCAAGGATTAGGACATATGAAAGTGTCAGGCAGTGGGGGACACAGGACTTCAGCCAACATGCCAACTCTGCCACCAAACAGTGTCACTGATGTTGGGCAACGTTATATCTGTGTGCCTCTGTTCTTTATCTGTAAAATTGGGATAAGAGTTCCCTCCCCTTTGTATGCTGTGAAAATTAAATGAATAGCAATGGCAGGGCAGATTAAATGAATGGCATTGTTCTGACTGGCAGGTCAGAATGATTCTTGGGAATCGTTGCTCCAAGATGGCCCTAGAGCACGATGCTCCACCTGATCCAAGGTCCTGGAGCTGGGTGTGATTCCCATCAGCTGACCTCATCCTCCCCAGCCTCCAGCCCCTGGATCCTTGCAGGGTTCTTCCTGCCTGACACTTCTCCGCACCAATCTGCCTTCAAATAAATCAGTAAGTGGACAGATGAGCCAACTTGGGCATTAGAATATTTGCAAAGGGTGGCTCTCAAGACAACAGATGTGTGAAATAATCCATTTCAGCACTGGGTGAATTTGTTCCAACCAAAGGGCCATCACCAGTGTCAAAGGCAGTTAGCGTCACGTTGCCTCTGTATCTATTTCTTGTTAGTGCTCCCACATTGAACAGTAAACACATTTCACTGTTTTGCAAATTTCTCCAAAACAGATATTCTCACATCAATGTTAACCATTTTCCTCCCCTCCCTCCCCAGAGCTTTTTCTTTCTTGCTTGCTTGCTTTCCAAAACTTTTCAAGTTCAAGACCCTGGGAGCCTGCTGAGCTCAGGAGCAGGAGCTGAGGAAAGTTCCGACAGACCATATTCTCTCTTGATCTCCTTTCTCTTCACCATGGCTAAAAATATACACTTCTTCACCGAATCTTGTCAATTCCCCTGTAATTAGAAGGGTCACCAGAGTCTCATCTGCCAAATCTGTACCCCAGAGCGGAACTTAGGAATAGGTGGGGAGGGTGGGTGATGCAGTGGGGAGGTGGAGCTGGGGGACTGGAAGAGCCCAGGGCTTTGGGCTCAAAGCCGATGGTCAATGAAGGAGGGGAGGCTCATGCACGGTTGGGGGGGGGGTCTCCTGCTGCTGGAGACATAACTTCTAGGGAGTCCCCACCCCTCAGTGCACACATGAGGCATTCTGTGGGTGCTGGGCATGTAAGACCGGGCCCCTAAGGAGCTCACTGCTTTGTGCCACAGATGGACACATGGAAAATCACAAAGCTTTGAGAATAGAAGTAGGTCTGAAACGATGTTCAAGTGTTAACTTTGGCTTATTCTGGCAGCAATGAGAGTTTGAGGGTTGAGGGTTGTTGCATTTTTTGTTTTTTTCTTGTATTACTATTGTAAGAAAACAAGAACATGTACACTTTATAAAAAGTGAGAAATTTATTACTTTAATAAAAGTAACAATACAATTTGGTGAGTTTTCTAGAAGTCCAGTGCAGGCTGGGAGCCCTGAAGTTTTAAAGCGAGAGGGGCCCTCTGGTTGAAGACAATTTCCAAACCGGAGGATAATTACTGAAATTTTTTTTCTATGTAGGCCCAGTTCTAGAGTGTGAGGATACAGAAGTGTATTGCTGGAACAGAGTCTGAGGTACAGAAGTGTATTGCTGGAACAGAGTCTGAGGTACAGAAGTGTATTGCTGGAACAGAGTCCAAGGTGGGGAGAGGTGAGAGGTGGTAATGGTGAGAGGTGGTAGGGGAGGCCAGGCATGGTCCAGACTGGAAGGGCCTGTGTGCTGGTCTGAGAAGCTGCCATTCCCCTGCTCCTCAGTGGGGGAAATGGGTAGATATGGTGGCATGAGGTGCTGTGCCAAACAGAATGCAAAGCTCCAGGAGAAATAAATGCAGAGCAATCTTCCTGGGGTATCAATTATACTTAAACATCTTTGGGGAGGAGGTTGAGTGATTCTGTAAATAGGTAGTTTAAAGAATTATCATAACACTGGAACCAGCCTGAGTGGATCCTGGCAGAACTTTCAGACTGGGCTCCAGTCTGGTGCCCTCAGAGGGAGTGTGGCCCCCAGCTCTGCTAGGTTAGGGGAGCTCCCTTGGGAAAGTGTGAGGTGGCCTGCTGTGGTGAGAGGAAGTGAAGGAGAGAGTTTTATCCTATTTGAGCTTTAGAAAGATCCCCTGGTGGCTTGCATGGAGAGGGAGGATGAGGTTTGAGGCAGTTAAGAGGCTTTCATAATAGTTCACCTTGGAGATGCTGAGAGCCTGGCCACAGCCCTCACAGGGCAGATGTGAGAGGGATGTGGGGATTGATGGGGCTTGGATATTGCTGGGGCAAGGTGTGGGGGGAAGGACGGGGGAGTCCAGATGACTCCTAAGTGTCTGTGGTCGCTGAGAGATATGACACCATTAACCATAACAGAGAGCACAGGAGGAGAATGGGTTTAATTTCATGCATCTAGACAGCGGTGAATGAGAGACCCCCAGGGAGTGGATTGTGAGCGGGGAAGAAAAGAGGGACAAGGGGGACCATGATGGGACAGCGTCTTCAGGGAGCTAGTGGAGGACGAGGACCAGGTGATTGAGAAGACCTCTCACCCTTGTCGTCCAGCCACTCCACACATCTCCCAGGGGCTGGGGTCCCAGGCCATGTGGGACTACCAACATTTGCTTCCTCTGCAGTCCCTCCAGGTCTGCACAGCTCTCCTTGTCTTTCCAGAGGGTGCTCAGTCATCCTTCAGCAATCTCCGAAGCTCTCCCCTAAGTGGGAGCAATTGTCTCCTCTGTGCTCCCCTGGATCCCCTGTGACCTCCATCGCTGCATCTGTAACACTTTACAGAATGTGCTGGTTTCCATGGCTGTTTCCTCCACCAGCCTGTGAGCTCTGTGCCCAGCCTTGCACAGAGTAGGTGCTCAATGAGTGTGTTCTGGATGAGTGGATGGATTGTCCAAAAGGAAGGAGAAAGAAGCAAAAAAGGATGTGCCCACAGAGAGAGAGAGAAAGGAAAGAATTTTCAGTCACAGGAACCACATGCGCCAAAGAATAAAGTCAGATGAAAGCTGAGAAGCATTCGTTTCAGTTGGGAGGTGTCCTTGGCAAGAATAATGTCCCTGGCTAGATGTGGGCAGAAACACATTACAGCAAGTTTACGTTAAAGAGTGACTAGGAGATAAGAAAGTGGGGACACTGAGTGCAGACCTTTCCCCCCACCCCCAAGAAGTTCAGAATAGAAGAGAAAGGGAAAGATAAGGTGATAATTTCAAGTGACATAGATTTTTAGACTTGAAAGGAAGGAGCAAATGGGGAAAGAGATGCCTATATAATGCAAAGTGAATGGGTGCAAGTGATTGAGATGGGAAAGGATGATCAAGAGCAGAGGTGAAGGGGTTGGCTTTGAACCAGAAAGATCTGAAGTTAGACACTGCCTACCCTATGAAGGACGATGGTGAGGGGAAGGGGAAGAGGAAGGGAATAGGTTAGAGTTGAAGGAGATCAGGGAAGGCTGTGAATAGGAGAGGAACACACACACATAAAGACTCATGACAATGCGGTGCATCCACAGGAGACTGGAAAATCACACTAGACCTCCAATTGCTATGGTTCTATGATGTTCCATAGAACCAGTTCCATCTGGAACTGCTCTCTGGGCCCGCTGCAAAGCCACCATCTGGGACTCTCCTTTTCTATCATCTGAGGACTTAGCTTTTCCATTCTCCTGTCTGGAGCCCTGCTTCCTGGGATCCATGTTTTCCTCTTTTTTGGATTTCTTCTCCACATCTTCTGCCACATATCTAGGGGCTTCCTGAAATGCTGAATATACCTTAGAGGTCTAAAAATGTCTTTAGTCTATCCTTATACTGAATTTGTGGTTTAGTTGGAAAATCAATTCTAGATGGAAAATACATTTCCCTCAGAATTTTGTCTTCTGACTTCTCCTGTGGTTATTGAAAAGTCAGTTGTCATTCTTAATTCACATCTTTTGATGTTATGTTTTTCTTTTCTGCAAGAATTTAAGATATTATCTTTAGCCCTGTTTTTCTAAAATTTCATGATGAGGAACCTTGATGAGAAGTCTTTATTTAATATGTTGGGCAATCAGAATCATTTCAAACAGGGGACTCATGTCAGTTCATTGGAAAATGTTTCTGTAGCACATATTAGATTATTTTCTTCTATTTTTGTCTGTTCTCTGTTTCTGCAATGTCCACTAGATAATTGTTGAACTTCTTGGATTGTCCTCTAAATTTATTTTCTACTTTTCATCTTTGTCTCTTATTTCCTTCATTATGGGTGATCTCTTTGACTTTGTCTTTCAATTATCCTATTAAATTTTTGAATTTAGCAATCACACTTTTATCTTCCAAGAGTGTTTTCTGTTCTTTGTTCTTTTTAAAAATTACATCCTTTTTTTGTTCAATGGCTGCAATATTTTCTCTTCTACGTTAAGTGATATTAATTAAAGTTTTTTGGAAAATTTAATCTGCTCTCTGCATTGTTTTCTTTAGTTTTTTGTTCTATTAATTTTCGTTGTTGTTTTCCATATTCCATGATTGTCATCTATATCACCAAAAAATCACTGGAAACTATCTCTCTCTTTCTCTCTCTCTCTCTCTCTCTCTCTCTCTGTGTGTGTGTGTGTGTGTGTGTGTATGATTCATATTAGGGGAGGAGGACTTATTATTGGCTTTCCTGTAGGGTGATCAAGCACCAAGCAGGATATAGATCTTTTTATTTTTTGGTGTGAGGAGACAGGAGAATTCTTTCTTCAAAAAAGTCAGCTGCTTACCAGGATCTCTCTCTCTCTTCTCTCTCTCTCTCTGTCTCTCTCTGTCTGTCTCTTTCTCTCTCTTTCCTTCTTTTATCTCATCTCTATTGTTATTTGTATACCTACCTTTTTTGATTCTTGGACCTGGGTGGAAAAACAGAGTTAGAGAGTGTGTTTCTCACTATTCAAGATAGAGAATTTCATGTCTGTTTCTAACTGTGAGACTCGACTCTGTCTTCTGCTTTTTCAGGTGTTCCTGCACTTGTACCTGTAGCTTTTCCAGTTCAATAGAACTACAGGATCAGCCTCTGCTCCACCATCTGGGCAGGATAAATAGAGAGGTGGCTTTTCAGGGTTGGAGGAGACCTGGGGGTCTAATTGTTCTACACACTGACTTCAACCAACATCTCCTTCTCAGCTCAGCCCCTCCACTGTCTCTGAGGTACCCAGTGCCTCCCATCGCCAAGCCTTCTGCGGGCTTTGCTGGGTGAATTGGCTCCTGCCTCACAGGCACCCTCTGAGGCTCTCAGAGCACAGCTTTCTCAACTCTGCAAGGACAGTTGCTGCTCCTCTTTTCCCACCCCACCTTGAAAAAGTGGATTGAAATATCTTATCTGCTACTGACTCCTGTCTCATTCTCTGTTTCCCTGCTGGCTTTTATCATTTATTTCATCACATTAGAGGGTTTCGCACGCTCAATTTAGCATTTTAATCAGAAAACCTAGTATACATTTTGGTACAAAAAAAATGCTATGCAATCTGTTGTATGCCCATTGTTGCCTAATGTGGCAGGCATTCCATGAAGACCTGTTGACTTAATTAGTAATTCCAGGTCTGACACATGGAACTATCAAGTCCAATGCTGATCCTGGGGCACAAGGAACAGAGGATCCCTCTGGGAGAGAGGGAAGGAGGCCAGAAAATAGATTTCCATAAGGTGGGTAGGTAAGAACTGCTCTTCGTTCTAGATATTAGTTGATGAGGAGTGATTGGAACACTTGGTTGGTTTTGCACCTAATTTATCAGTTTTGGACAAATTGGCTGTGCCATTTGGACTGCACAGTGAGAGCTGTGACTGGCTAATATAGGAAGGAACACCGCCCCTAAAGTTTTCTGCCCGTTATCCTTGCATTAGGGCTATTTTCCAACCACTTGGAATTAAGCCATTAAATCAACAAGCAGATTGGAAGCCCTACTGAAAAGAGCCCATGAACCATGATGGAATGCACCTGCAACATGATGGAATGCACCTGCACTGTGATGGAAAGCATCTGCACCATGGTGGAATACAGGGGTCATAGCCAGGCATCTAGGGATGACCTCTGCTTCCCTCTGACTGGCAACAGATCAATCAGACTTATGTTTCCCCTTTGTCTGGGATTTCACAGGGTCTCTGGGGAGATGACAGCCATAGGAAGTTTGGGGATGATTCTCTGGCCACAAGTCCCTTATAGTCACTGATGAGAGCCCTGCACAGTGGATGGCTCTGCTGTTTCCATGCCAACATTGGGCACAGGGATCTTGGCCAAGGTTCTCAAGCCACTGACTCCATGTATGTTTCCCTTGGGCATCAGGATACTGGAGCTTCCATTGGAACTCAGGCCACCCTATGGAACTGTAGGGATTGGGGCTCAAGTCCTACTGCTCCAGGATGCCCATCTCTGTCTATCCCCATACATCACCCAAGGGCCTGGGAAATTCTACCCTTCCACTTTAGTTGGTCTCCATCTCTTGAACTAAATCTCATTTGGGGGTTGCCTTTCATGTGTTTGGTATCAGCTTCTGTTGTTGTTTTTCCTCAGAAACATAAAATACTCTTAACTCTACTGTCAGGCACTGGGAACCAGACTGAGATGAAGATTAGCTAACATCTAACTTCTTAGTTTTGGATTAGGGTTTCCAATTATTTTCAGTCTCCTACTGAAACAGGAATAAAAAGCATCAGTACTTTTGGTATTTGACTAAACTCTGCAGTTGGAAAACCTCATTAGCCATGACTTTTCCAAATGTATTAGGCCATAGAACTCCATTCCCCTCTTAACATTTATTAACACCTGTATCAGTTAGGGCACCCATAGAAAACAGCTGGCATACTCACCCTGGGATAATTTTAAGATGCTTAATTTACGAAGGGACTGATGACAACAGTGTGGGCAGCATGTGATGGATGGTGCATGGCCCTGGGGCCACCTGCATGGAGCTGTTAACACCCCACCCTGGAGAGCTAGGAAGGTTTAGGGGAATTTGGCAGATGGAATTTGTCTGCTCTGTCAGTTAAATCTCCCCATCTGATTTCTGAGTGCCACTGCTTTTTTGCCAGTGCCCTTACCTTGTCATCAGAGGTCTGGTAGGGATGAGAGTTAACTGACTCCACAGCTCTGCAGCCCTTACTCTCAGACCCTGGGCTTAGTCCTCACCACGTCTCCTCTGTGACTGTAGGAAGTGAGAAACTTCATCACTGCCATGGGTCTTCTGGTCCTCCGAGGACGTTCTGAATTGCATGCTCATGTCCTCTAGGGCCGTAAGAAGGAGGAGTGAGTGCAATTGGCTGCCTGATGCCCATTCCCAGACACGTGGGATCCCAGGACATGGGGCTCAGCCTGCAGTGCAGTGTCCAGAAGCCCCACCAGGGTACCGGGGTAGGAAAGGTTACTTCTCTAAAAGCTCTGGTTTCTGGAACTAAGGGTGGGGCCTAGGAGGCAGCATTTTCATCATCAGACAAGCTGTCGTCCTGGAGAGATGAGGCAGTGAGGGAGGCACTGAGGATAAGGCACTGGGGAGGCAGAGGAAGATGGGGCAGGAGCAGTGTCCTGAGTTGGAGATACTGGCTGGGATTCTTTCCATGGGGTTCTCTGACCAGCACATGGGGCTCTGGCCCCACCTGCTGCTAGGATGGAAGGTCAGTAATGCTTTTTCATGGGGTTTTACCGCTTATCTTCTAAGCATCTCTCTCTCCTTTGCCTTTCTCCTTCCCGTTAATTCCCCACGCTTTTCCTCATGACTGCTTTGTTTGTTTCACTTCTGCCTGTGTCTTTTCCTAAATCTTTTACTGTCTCTCTTCTTTTTTTTCAGCTTCTTTTCCCGTATGTGATACAATTATTTTTATTAGCCTGTGCTATCTATATATTTAAATCCCAGATGTGTATCTGCTAATTGTACTTTTAGGGAAATAATTATGCAAGTTAAGATGATTAGATAATGAAAGTGTTCTCTGGGGCTGGCCTCTTTACAAAGGAATGGTGATGGGAACAGGGATCCTTTCTACTGAAACTAGCAGGGCGGTTCAGTTCTTATTAGGACACTTTTGAGACATTTGAGATGTAATCAGATCACTCCCAGGGCTTGGCCAGAGGGCTAACTCTGGGAGCTCATCCGGTGCACAAGATTGGATATCTTGTGGCCTCCCAGGAAGGCAATGATCAGAGAGCTCCATGATACATGGCTTAGGTCTTAGGACCCCATGGAATTCCTAGATCCATATGAAGATTCCAAAGACACTTGGAGTTTCTGAAACTTGAGCACACACACACACACACACATGCACATACACAGCAAGATTTGGCTTCCCTTGGGCAGAGGGTTTTGTAGATGCGAAATTGCTGAAACGTTATCAACTCTGGAATTGCTTCATTGTACACTAATGGTGGCCATAAGCTTCCTGCTTACTCACTCTTGGCATATAATAAATGTTCACAAGATACATGCTTTCCTTCTCTGGATTCTGCTCTTGATTCAGAAGGGTGGCCTTGCCAGACATTGCTGGCACACCTGGGCCGTCACAGGTGCCTACCACACCTTCGCGTCCAGTCACTTGCTGACCTGACCTCCCCAGGCAGGAAGAGGTGGTGCTGGTGCTCTTATTCCAAGATGAGGGGGCATTGGGAGAGGCTATGGCCAGGGGATGGCCCAAGTTAAGAAGGGGCAGAGAGAAAGGGTACATGTGATATTGGGTGTGTAGGGGAACAGAGAAGTGAGTCAGGGAGAATGGGGTTCTCTTGAGGATTGAAGAACTGGCAGGAGTAATTTCTTGGAAGAATAAAAGGGGATGGGAGATGATCCTGGTTTAGAGCCACTATTTTGCAAAGGGAGAATTTGATACTGAGAGGGGACACGCTCTTCTGCAATGGGACCTTGACACTTCTCCATGAAAAAGTGGAACAAATTCCTCTCCCCTTGAATCTGGGTTGCCTTTAGTGACTTGCCTGATCAACAGAATGTGGTGGAAATGATGTTCTGGGTTTTCCAAGGCCAGGTCCTAGGAGCTTTGTGGTTTCTGCTTCTCTTCTGTAAACACTCACCCTTGGGGACACTTCCTCTCAGAACCCACTCCTCAGTGGGTGAAGTCCAACACACACGGAGAGGTCACATGAAGGGGCTCTGCTTAGTGCCCCACCTGAGAGGCTGCCTGGCAGCCAGCATCAACTGACAGGCTTTGGGAGGGGATCTTAGATGTCCAGCCCAGCTGAGCCTTCAGTGACCTCAGCTCCAGCTCCACCTGAGTGTAACTGCATGAGAGACCCCAAGCAAGAACTGTGCAACTGAACTCAGTCAGTCCAGAGTTGTGAAAGGTAATATATTTTGTTTTGAGCCACTACATTATGGGATAGCTTGTTATGCAGTAACAGATAACTAGGAAGCATATTTAAGAAAAATACTCAAGATCCTGAATTTTATACAAGAACCAAAGGGTCTTATCTCTGCACTTTCACAATTACTTTCAGAGAAAAGGGGCAGTTTTAAAAACAAGCTGTCCTGACTATGTAAATATATCCCTTTCTCTTTGGACAAATTAATGGTCAGATAGGCTTGAGCCATTGGCCTTCATGCTTGAAGGCAACTTAAAGACCATGGAATAGTCATGAGCCTGCCTGCTTGCTTTACAGATGAGAATCATGGAGCCGAAGTGACTTGCCCAGCGTCACCCAGGTGCCTAATGACAGAGCCTGGGCTGGACCCTAGGTGCCCTGATTCCTAGCTCAGTGCTGTCTTTATTCTATTATGCTGCCTGTTTATAATGCTGTTTAGGGACAGGCAATTCCCTGAAATGGGAGTTTGCAAAGGCCTAATGAGAATGATGAAAGGGTGCGTGTGGGGATTCTGAAGTCACCTGGGCTCTTTCATAGCTCTGTCCAGCTGCATGGTTTTTAGGGAGGCATAGCTTGTTTCAGTCAGCTCAGGCTACCATAACAAATTATCATAGACTGACTGGCTTAAACAACATATGTCTATTTCTCACGGTTCTGGAAGCTGGGAAGTCCAAGATCAAGTTGCCTGCAGATCCAGTGTCTGGGGAAGGCCGCTTTCTAGTTTTCAGAAAGGTGTCTTCTCATTGTATCTTAACATGGTGGAGCACAGAGGGACAGGAGACCGGAAGTGAGTTCTCTCAGGTTTCTTCTTCTCTTGTTTTTAACTTTTATTTGAAGTTCGGGGATACGTGTGCAGGTTTGTTACATAAATAGACTTGTGTCTTGGGGGTTTGTTGTACACATTATTTCATCACCCAGGTATTGAGCCTGGTACTCATTAATTATTTTTCCTGATCCTCTCCCTCCTCCCACCCCTCATTTAGCTTCCACTTATAAGTGAGTACGTGCAGCATTTGGTTTTCTTTTCCTGAGTTAGTTTGCTAAGGATAATGGCCTCCAGCTCCATTCATGTCCCAGCAAAGGACATGATCTCGTTCTCTTTTATGGCTGCAGAGTATTCCATGGTGTATATGTACCTCACACTTTCTTTATTCATTCTATCATTGATAAGTACTTAGGAAAAGAGAATTTCTTCTTATAAGGGCACCAATCTTATCATGAGAGCTGCACCCTCAGGCCCTAATCACCTCCCAGAGGCCCCATCTCCTAATACCATCACACTGGGGATTTAGGATTTCAACAACTGCATTTGGGTTATTCAGGGGAGATGGGGGTGGGGGAGACACAAACACTTAGTCTATAACACAGTTTCAGTTATTTAATTTAATTTTTTTGAGACAAGATCTTGCTCTCTCACCCAGTCTGGAGTACAATGGCACAATTATAGCTCACTGCACTGCCTTGAACTCCTGGCCTTGGCCTCCCAAAGTGCTGGGATTACATGCATGAGCCACTGCACTCAGCCCAGTTTCTTTTAAAAAGCATCTTTTCACACCATGTCTGGCAAGAAGACATTGAAATGTGGAGTGACAAGGTCAAGCGTGGAGAAGGGCCTCAGTGGAGAATTGGCTGTGCTGAGGCCCAGCAGTGTGGGAGGCTTCAGGGCACTCCACTCTCCTGGGATGGAGAGGGTCGGGATAGGGCAAGGCCTGTGGTGAGCCAAGTTCCTGGCCTGGGCTCTGAAGGCCATTGCGCCTGAGGCTTCCTGCTCATCACCAGTCCAACTGAGAGCTCCCCATTTGAAGAAAAGCAATGTCTGGCTGATCTGGGAGGCAGTTGTCTCCATCCCAGGGCAAAGGAAGCATCAGAGGGAGGTGCTCAATGATGAGAGAACATCAAGTTGCTTTTTATGGGTTACATTGCATCTCCTCAAACTTATAGGTTGCCATCCTAACCCCCGTGGCCTCAGAATGTGACCTTATTTGGAAACAGGATTGTTGCAGATGTAATTAGTTATGATGAGACCATACTGGAATAGGGTGGCCCTCTAACCGAATGTGGCTGGCGTCCCTCTAAAAAGGGAGAAGGCCATGTGAAGTTTCATGCAGTAGTTGAGGGAGTGCTTCTGCAAGACAATGAACATCAAGATTGCCAGCATGCCAGCAGAAGTTAAGACGAAGCATGGAGCCGATTCTCCTGCATAGTCCTCAGAAAAACCAACCCTGTCCACACCTTGATTTTGATTCCAGCCTTCAGAACTGTGAGGCAATAAATTTCTGTTGTTTAATTAAGTCACTTCGTACTTTGTTATGGAAGCCCTAGAAAATGAATACAATGTTAAATAGGTCAATGAATAGAGTCTTGAGATTAAAATAAAAAGATGAAAGGGGACAGGGAGTAATGGTTTGGAGGAGGAAAAGGTGAAAATGTAGGTGGGGAAGCCCTGGCGGGAGAACCACAGCATAGGCCCTTGAGACCGTGGACCCATGTCATGCCATCTGCAGTAGAGAATCATGCATCCTTTGAGAAATAGGTCTTGGCATGTTACTGGATGCTAGTGAAAACATGGATGGACACCAAGTGACAATGCATCCAGAACTGCCTGTTATGAGCTGGGCTCTGTCACAGCTACCAAGTTATAAAGTCAGACAGGCCCAGTAGCCATCTATTGTGGTGTGGAAATATTACATGTGATGTTGAGCTTGAGTAGGACCTGAGGGTATGACTAACCTGCTAGACCTCCTGGTCACCCACCACAGTTGGACTTTCCCAGCTTTTGCCTGTGGCCATAGAGAGGAATCCTGTATGATCAGCTGGAAGACAAGGCAATATAGTTTACTCTTGGTTTATAGGTGGATCAACTCTACATGGGTGCAAGCCAAAAATGGGCAGTGGCTGCATTTCCCCCACATTTAGGGTGACCCCAAAAGGCAGTAGGGAGGGAAAATCTTCCCAGTGGGTGAAGTTTTGAGCAGTGCACCTGGTCATCTACTTTGTATGGAAAGGAAAGTGGTCAATTACCTGGTTAGGGGTCAGAAAAGGAAAGGACTAGAGGCAAGGCAACATGGGTAGAAGCATGTGATAGACATATGGGAATGGGTACCAAGTATAAGGATTTTTGAATCATATGTTCACCATGAAGTATCTGCTATCAACTGGGTAACTGAGTAGACAAAAGGACTTGACCTGTTAACCTTGGCCAGTGTTTTAGTCTGTTGAGGCTGCTATAATAAAATACCATGAACTGGGTGGCTTATAAACAACAGGAATTTATTTCTCACAGTTCTGGGGGCTGTGAAGTCCTAGCCCTGGGAACCAGCAGATTCCATGTCTGATAAAGATCAACTTCCTGGTTCATAGATGGTGCCATCTTGCTGTGTTCTTACATGGTAGAAGAGTAGAAGAGGAGAATGAACTGTCTGGGGCTTCTTTTATAAAAGCACTAAACTATTCATAAGGGGTCCACCTTCATGAACTAATTATCCCCCAAAGACCCCACCTTCTGATATCCTCACCTTGGACGTTAGGATTTAAACAAGAATTTTGGAGGGGATGGGGGTGCAGAGATGTTCAGTTCCTTGCAGCCTGCCTTCATAATCAGCCACCCCACATTGACACGATGGACTCATGAGTGGAGTGGCTACAGCATTAGAGAGGAAGATATGTGTGAACTTAACAGCATGGACTTCCACTTACCAAGGCTTATCTCGCCACTGCTGCTTCTGAAGGTCCACATTGTTAGCCAGAGTCCAATTCAACCAGGCACTATTTCTCAAGGAAACCAATTGGCTACTTAGTGAGAAGTTGACTACACTGGTTCCCTTCCATTCTGGAAGAGCCAGTGAATCCTTCTCCAGGGAGAGATATCTTTTCTGGGGCTGGGTTTGCCTTTCCTGCCCACAAAATCTCAGTCAGCATTTTTATCTGGGGGCTTTCAGAATGCGTGATTCATAGGCATGGAATCTCATAACAGCACAGCATCTGACCAGAGGATCCATGTCACCTTGAATGAGGTGTGAGGACCATAACTAGGGAATGTAGGTCTCATATAATGTGGGACCATAACTAGGGAACCAATGGTTTTATCACAGACTCCTGCTCATAGGCAGCCATGCTCTTGCAACACTGGGACAGCCCTCCAGAGGCACAGTTGAAGCCCCAGCTGAAAGGAAACATTCTGAAGGAATGAGATATCATTATTCATGATGCAGTCCATTTGTTAAACCATTGGCATTTATGGTACTATGTCTTCCATAAGAAGGAAGCAAGGGCCCCAGAACAAACCTGTAGAGGCAGGAGTGGCTCCACTTACCATCATAGGAGGAGTCATGATCCTAGCAGGGGCAGTGTCCTTGATTAGCAGGAAGAATCAGATCTGCTTTTACACAATAGGAACAGGAAAGAATACATGTGGAATCCAGGTAAACCACCAAGATAGCTGAGGTTGAGGAAACTTTAAAAGGGACAGTGGGGAAAGGGGAGAATGGCATTAGTTATGGCCCTAAGGTCAATTGCAAAGAGGGGGCAATAGTTCATCCTACTAACCTCCCTCTCCTGGTTCTTACTTAGGAAGAAAGGCCTACTGGACTCATGAAATTATGAAACCAGCTGCTGCCCAAATCTGTGTGGAGAAGGTTTGCTCAGTGCAAGCGGTGGACTGTAGCAGCCATGAGAATGTGCCTTGAGGAATTCTAACTATAGGGCACATAAATAAACAAGAAAGGCAGCTGCTGTGTCTCTGAGATCCAGCATCCCATTTTCACAAAGGCTACATTTCCCATGGGCTGCTTTCAGCTAAAGAATGAATGTGGCAGGTACACTAAGGAAGATGCATTCTTGGGAGGCAAGGGACTCCTCTGGTGACCAGTGTTGGCTTGAGGACTCCTGAACTTGCCTTAGATTGCATCATTCTTTAGGATGCTTCCATCTAACCTTCTATTCCTCTGTCCTTCCTTCAAGGTCAGACTTGCATCATGGTCTGACTGTTCTTACAGCTTTCCCTGGGCCCCTCCCCATTTTCTGTCACAGGCATTTCCCCTAAAAAAAACCCTTGCATGTTTAATGGTGTCTTGGCATCTTCCTCCCAGAGCACCCAGAATAACCCAGTCACTTTAACTCTTGCTCCATCCTCTGTAAACAGACCTTCCATAAAGCATCTCTTCAAATACCCTGCTGAGTTGCCATCTGTTTCCTGCTGGGACCCTCAGTGATAGAGATTGTTATAGACTATAAATGTTAGAGATTTCAAGGAAGAAAAAGTAATATTAGGTGGTGTGATGAGAATAAGCAGCAAGGAAGACATGTGTCTTGAGATATGGGGTTGATCTGGCATTACAGGTTGGCATTTCAGGTAGGGGTGTGCGTGTGTGCATGCATGTATGCATGCATATGTGTGTCTGTGCATGTAGACATGCATGTGTGTGTGCAACATAAACAAAGGTACAGGGAAGAAACAAGTACATGTGGCAGAGTTTGTCCAAGAGTCCACACCTCTTTTCTCAGGAGCTCCATTTGTGCCATGGGAGGAAAGCACCCAGAAATGCTTATTTCTCGATGTTCATTGTTTGGAATTTGCAAAGAAGTTTTCCCCTTTTCTTATTCATCACCTCATTGCCTGCATCTTTCTTTGTGCAGCCAGGAGCTCATGTTAGATAAGAGCTGGGGCAGTGGCCAAGGCCAGATGAAAATACAGAAAAGCAGGAAAGAAAGACAGAGAAAAATGAGTGCCTTGAAATTCTGGTGTCCAGAGCTCAGGATATTGGGGGCAACAGGACTAAAGAGCCCCATTTGTTAGAAGCCAAAGACAGGGAGCAGTTTCCTTCAGAAGTCAGAGGGTGAAGAGAGGTTGTTTTGACCAGAGGCTCGCAAAACATAGTTCCACAGAGCCAGGGAGATAAAAGTTTTTAGACATAGGCTTCTATAATTCAAGTATCTCTAAGATGTTACTGCTAAGCTGTGAAAAACCAGGTTCTATTTATTCCTTCACTCAACACATGCATATGGGGTACCTACCACGTGTCAGGAACTGCTCTAGGCACTGGAGATGCACTATTAAACAAGACAGATAAAAAATCCCTATCCTCATGGAGCTTACATCCTATTGATTAACAAATAAACCAATAAAACAAATAACATGTCAGAGGGTGGTAAGTGCCATGGAGCAAAGCAAAGCAGGAAAAGGAATAGGTTGTGCATGGGCTGGGGCAGAGACAGCTAGAGAAGGCCTTGTAGACAAGGCAATGTAGAACAGATACTTTAAGGAGTTAAAGGAGCAAGTTTCAGAGATACCTTTGAGAATGGTCCATGCAGAAAAAAGAGCAAGTTAAAAGGCCTGAAGGTAGAGGTGTGCTTGCTGCTCTTATTAAAGTCTGTCTATTTTGCATCCTGTACTAGTCTACCTACACACAGAAAAGCTTCTGTTTGCAAAGTCTTCAAGTTCTAGTGTTTTGCATTCCAGACTACATTAATGTTATCTAACTGTAGCATCTAAAAGTCACCAATGGCATGACAAAAAACATTATATCTCATTATAGTATTAGACTTGAGGTTCATTACCTCACAATCTGCATCAGTTTCAGCAGCAGATGAAACTCCCCAAATATAACTCCTCAGATGCATCTCCACTTAATCTAGAGACTTTGAATTTAAAAGACAAATAGTACCTTGGCTTTTGGGGTTGGAAAATTTGCATCCTGGTTCACTTACAGGCTGTGTGGTCCTGAATAGTTACTTAACCTCTCTAAGCCTCTATTTCTATAGATGGAGATAATAGCATCTCTATAGATGCTGTATCTATAGATGGAGATAATAGCAACATCTACCACACACACTAAGGAGGAAATCAGATGAGACTGTGCATTTATAAGTGTTTATGAATCATTGGCTTTTTTTTTTTTTTTGGTGGAGTCTTGCTCTGTCACCCAGGCTGGAGTGCAGTGGCACAATCTTGGCTCACTGCAACCTCTGCCTCCTGGGTTCAAGCAATTCTCTTGTCTTAGCCTCTTGAGTAGCTGGGACTACAGGTGCCTGCCACCATTTCCGGCTAATTCTTGTATTTTTAGTAGAGTCGGGGTTTCACCATATTGGTCAGTCTGGTCTTGAACTCCTGACCTCAGGTGACCTGCCTGCCTTGGCCTCCCAAACTGCTGGGATTACAGGTGTGAGCCACCATGCCCGGCCAAATTGTTGGCTTTGGTATAGCACAAGATGCTAAGTGAACTATTAGTCTGTTTCTTGATACATAACAAACCATGTCAAAAAATTAGTGGTTTGAAACAATAATCATTTATTTCCTCACAGTTTCAGAAAGGTTGACTGGGCTTAGCTGGCTGGTTCTTCTGCTGGTTTTTCTGGGGCCCACTTTTATGGTTGCAGTGATCTGGCAGCTCAGCTGGATGACCCAGGTTGGATTCACTCGCTTGTCTGGCCTCACTTACACATTCTTACCTAAGGCTTTTAGGTAAGAGTGATGTAATATGATGCAAGCCAGAGATTTATAAATGCTTGCACACTGAGATTTGCCCTCTTGGAACACTGCCACCACACTGTAGAAAGCCCAGGCTTTCTACTAGAGAGGCCACATGGAGAAGAACAGAAGTGATGTTCTGTCTGGGGTGTCTGGGTGTCTGGTTCTTCTCCACATGGTTTCTCCTTTTTTAGCAGAATAATCTGTTTTTCTTTTACACGGTGAGGCCGCTTTCCAAGATGAGAGTGGCAGCTGTTAGGCCTTTTATGGCCTGGGTTCAGAAGTTACATATAACTTTTGTTACATTTGACTGCCCAAAGCAAGTCACAATGTCATCTGAGATTAAAGGGGTGAAGAAGTGAGCCTCAGCTCTCAGTGGGAGGAACTTCAAAGTCACATAGAAAGGGATGTGCAACATGGATGGAAGAAATGGGCCATCTTTAGAAACAGCGTACCACAGTCTATCCTCTAGCCTCAGCAAATCTCTCCCTGTCATGTGCAAAATACATTCACTTTTCCCAAGACCCCCAAAAGTTTCATCTCATTACGGCATGAAGCTTGAAGTGTATTATCTCATGATCTGCATCAGGTTCAGATACAGATAAGACCTCTCAGTGTGGCTCCCCAAGTGCAGCTTCTCTTGATTCAGAGACTTTGAATTTAAATGACAAGCATTCTGTCTCAACACCCCTAAAACTCAGCAGTGGTTTAGGAACTGGATAGACCCAAGAGCCAGTCCTATTTAAAATGGAGAGACCAGGAGCAACAAAGCAGTTGCTGGTCTACAGCAATGATGAAGTCTATCTGATTACATGTTGATGTTGGCTTCCCTTACAAGGGTCAGAGAATGTTCCTTGATGAGAGTCTAGTTCTGCTCCCTGAGAGGGATACCTAGGCCCTTGTTTTCTGTAGCTCTTGGATCTTCTCCCTAGACTCTTGGTTCTATCCTCTAAGATGCATTTATTTATTTTTTGTCCCATAGGAAATTATCTGTGTTGGTAGCTAAGTAGCTTTCCCAGCCGGATTCTTACCCATAGAAAGTGGAGTCTCAGAGGCTTATCTTCTATTTGAGTTACTTCTTTCACTTTTAGTCCAACTTGTAGTACTTTCACTGATTAAAGGCTCTTAAAAATTTTGTGTTTCCTATGAATCTTATTGGGGTTCACCCCATGGCCCCAGTAGCTCTATCCATAATTATTTTTGAGACAGACTTTTCTCTTTGGGTGTGCTAATCTATTGTGGGACAATATATTTAAGACTGTCGGAAACCCCTTTGTCCAGCAGAGAGGGTCTCCTAGTCACTGCCTTTCAGAGGTTCACCAAAGGGTCTTATAAGTGCACACTTGATTTGATCTTTCTGCTGAGGTTATTTCTTATCTGAGAGCCTTTGCCTGACCGAAAATACTGGAAATCAGAACTAGTTTAATTTTTATAAACCAGTAAATTTTTGGCCTTTTATATTTCTTCTAGAACAGTCTTGAAAACTAAAGAGCTGGTTCTTTAGCTCATCCCTCTCTGCCAGTACCTTATCATACACAGCTGAAAGCATCTAACTGATGCTTTTAACATTTTGCCTAGAGATCTTCTTAACTAAATCAATACGTTCATTAAGTACTGTTTGTCTTTCAAGTTACTGCAGACAACATTATTGGCAATTATTCTGCTGCTACGTAACATGGGTTGCCCCTTTTCCAGCCTCTAATAACAATTTCCTCACTTCCTTTCTAGCATACTGAAAGATTGTTCACCATTTTTCCAGCCTTCAGTAACAACCTACTCAGTGACTTCCCAGCTCCTATCTGCTGTGTTGTCCCAGAGCCAATGCCACATGTTTTAGGTTTTTGTTATGGTGGTACCCCTCTACTAGATACAAATTGCTTTAGCAGTTATCTACTGCTGTGCAACAAATCACTCCAAATTTTTGTGGTTTCAAACAAGAACCATTTATTTGCTCACTCTTCTGTGGTTCAGTAATTTGGGCAGGCTTAGCTTGGATGGCTTATCTCTGTTCCACATGATGTTGGCTGGGCTCAGTCATATGCTTGCGGTCAGCAGTCAGTTCATCTGGGAGCCGACTGATCAAGATGGCCTCACTCACATTCATTCCAGTTGGCTGGGGCTAGCAACTGAGGTGCTTCTGTTCTTTTCCATGTGGCCTCTCTAGCAGAAAGCCTGGGCTTTTTACACTGTGGTGGCAGTGTTCCAAGAGGGCAAACCTCAGTGTGCAAGCATTTAGAAATCTCTGGCTTGCATCACATCTGCTGGTGTCCCGTTGGCCAACGAAAGCCACATGGCTGAGCTCAAAGTTGATGTGAGAGTGGATTAAACAAGGGAATGCAATCTGAGGGGCAGGATCCATTGAGGGGCCATTAATGGGACCATCTACCACCCTTGATGTCTTCATTGATCTGTTCTTGCTGGCTTCCAGACATGGTTTGTAATAGGTAATTCTAACACTTACTTCTATTTTGATCTTGTTCTCCTCTTCTTCCACGATTAAGGGAGGATTACAATTACTTTCCTGCCCCCTTTCCTGCCACGCTAGCTATGGCCTGTGGGTTATGGGTAAAGAGCTTATGTTTTTTTCAGATAGAGAATTTAGTTGCTGGAGTGAATACCTCTTGTTTCTCCATTCCTCCCATACTATGTGAGCCCAGAGATCTCTGTTGAGATTGTAGTTTCTTCTGGCCTGGGTAAGGAATGAGCGATGATCGCATGAAACAGAGCCTCTCATCCTTATCTCCACACTTCACACCTGTATCAAGATTTAGCAATTAACCTTTACAGTCTTAGGCTATTGAGACGTTGAGTTCTTTGTTTACCACAGCATAACCCAGCCCATCTTGATGGATACACAGCCTCAGTCTCTCCATGCCCTGTGGTCAGTTCTAGCTTCTTCCCTTGGTAGTTTTTGATATAACTCAAGCTCCAAGAAAGGGAGAAAGATATAGATAATTAAGTGTCTAATAGGAGAGATGAAGGAAGGGGGAAGGAAGAAAGCACTGGGCCATGAGGAGCCCATTGTTTATTTGCCAAGGATTTATGACATGCCTCCTGTATGCCTAGGCTTTGTGCACTGCCTGGGGTATGAAAGATGCATAAGGCATGCTCTGGAAGGGAACACAGACTACGGGGAGGCTGACATGTGAACAGTGAACCCCACTAGAGAGTGATGGCTACTGCCCAGGGGTGCAACTGATTCTCTGTTTCCTTCTGTAATTGGCTAATTGTCCCTGCAGGCAATTTCCATAGAGAAATTCCAGCTATGGCATCTGGCATGATGGCTTCCTTGCAGTAAGTGTGTGTCCAGCCTCCCAAGGTGACATCTTTGAAGGCCAGCATTCATCTCAATGCATAAGGCCTGTGATTTGTTGAAAAGTCAGTCTCATTACTTTATAATCACGTATCAGATTCAATCCTTACAGAGGACAAATATGGGGACAAAACCGAACACTTCTGAGGGCTGCAGTTTGCAATTTTGAGGCAGAAACGGACTGAAATGGGAAGGTGTTTTTGAACAGTCAGGGCCAGCTCAGAGCAGAGGCCCTGAGAAGGCTGGATAGCATTCCTGGCAAAGCTTCAAGACTCTGACATTGTAAAGCCACAGCACAGTAATGGGTTAACCCATGAGATGTTAACATCTAACTAATGTCGGCTTATGCATTTTACAGGGAGATCTGGCTTGGAATGTCTGGGATCAGCCTGCTGAGGCTGTTCAGGGCTGCTGGGGAGGTCAGCACAGGGTGGGCATTTCCTGAGGTCAGACTCAATGCAGATGAGGCTGGGGGTGTGTGGGGACTTAACCAAAAAGTGTAAGCCACGTGTAGGTTGTGGTGGGGCAGACTTTAACTAGATTTAATGGGTATGAATTTTACTCTACAACATGAGATATAAGGTAAGGATTTTTCCTTCTCTGATTCTAATTTAATTTATTCCCAGCCCGCATTCTACCAGGCCAATGAAAAATTCTATCTTAGTCAAAATGGGGACCCTTTTTCCCCACTCTATGCCTTCCTTGAGTTTTGGTCATAGTATCTTAAAAGCACAGGATATTTGCTGGGCACCTTCTGGTGTTCAGTCCTCACGGACATGTCCAATTTTGTAGCCCACCTAGTCCCTTGATGCTTAGCTGCCTCTCTGCAAGATGGCACAGAGGGCCTTTGCTATGACCAAGGTCCTTTTGCATAGGATAGGGTTGATGCACCTAGATGCATCCCAGAGAGGTGTTCCCAGAGTCCCAGCACCTCCCAGGGGTCAGGCAAGGGAGCAGGAAGTGGATCCTTGCTACTTTCAAGATCCCTCCATCTCTGTCCCGTCTCAGTCTTGTAAATCTTTCCCGCCCTCTCCAGTGTCTGGCTGTGTCCCTCTGCTGTCCAATCCCAAGCCCCAGGACCATCCTCTTTCCAGAAAACCTACTTCTTTGTCTCCAAGATCACACACTTTAAGAAACAAAAGTCTTTTAAGCCTGCCCTGTGGCAAAGGAGCACAGTTTCTAGGACTCAGAGCCCTCCTTTCTCCCTCTCCAGAGGAAAAAGAGGAAGGGGGTGGTACCTCCTATTCTCTCTAATTTTTCTATGGCTGTTGAGACCAAAATTATACTGTCTTTCCCACATATGCATTCAGCATAGTGTGGTGGTAAAGAGAGGAAACAAAGAATAAGTAAAACTTATAGACAAGATGGTCAGAAATGAAGCAAGCAGGTGAATGACTACTTCAAAGAACACAGAGCATCCAACCATACTCTCCACCTATGGGCACCCTCGTGGTCTTTGAGCAACTGGGATAGATGTAGAAAGGACCCAGATGGAGCTGGACATGTAGGAGTGTTAGGGTCCAGGAGGAAACTTCTATTACGAATGAGATTCATAAAGGCATGCTGTTCTATTCTGTGGCCTTGGACGAATATTTATCCAGAGCCTCCCATGTGACAGGCAATGTGCAGGGCATGCAAGGGCTTTGAGGGCCGGCAGAAGGAACTAGCGATGTGGTGGAGGTACAGGTACGAGGATGCAACAGCATGATCTCCATCGTGCAGACAGCTCTTGAGCCAGCTTATGCCTGTGTTGGCGACGGGGGAATCTGCCAGGAGACTCCAGACAGTGAAGAAGGCCTCCCTGGTCCATTTCTTACAAAGCCTCCGAAAGTGTTTCCCTAAAAGCCTCTTCAAACATGGTCATCATTGTCTTAAAGATAACTTTTCTGAATCCATGTTTCTTCACTTTGTAATTTGCTGTGATAAAATTGTCTTTCCCCATACCCTCTCTCCTCACACAAAGGGAAATTCATGTGGTCCTGAGGTTGGGCCCTTCTCTCCTGCTTCTGCTGAAATTGGAGAGTTGGTGGGGAGAGGCTCTCGGATTGCCTCCCACAACACCCCGTAGCACTCAGACTTAGATGGAGGGGGCTACTGGAGGGACACCCTGCCCCCCGCAGCACAGCCCTTGGAAGGCCACTCTACATGGTGGTTTTGCAGGCCCTCCCGGTCACTGGGGCCAGGCCACTCCTGGCTCTTCATTTCTTGGATCCCGGCTTCTTATGTTTTGTTTTGTTTGTCTTGTTTTGAGACAGGGCCTGTACTCTGTTGACAAGGCTGGAGTACAGTGGTATGATCTTGGTTCACTGTGGCCTCGACCTCCTGAGCTCAAGCAATCCTCCCACCTTAGCCTCCTCAGTAGCTGGGACTACAGGTGCATGCCACCATGCCTGGCTAATTTTGGCGTCTTTTGTAGAGGCAGGTTTCGCCATGTTGCCCAGGCTGGTCTAGAACTCCTGGGCTCAAGCAGTCTGCCTGTCTTGCCCCCGTAAAGTGCTGGGATTACAAGTGTGAGCTGCTGAGATTACAGGCATGAGCCACTGCACCCAGCCAGGGCTCTTATCTTTAAGACTGGATGTCACTGTTTCTTCTTCATTTTCCAGCTTTTTTTTTTTTTTTTTTCCTTAGCACTTGCCCCCTTCTGGAGTGCCAGAGCAGTGGTGCGATCTTGGCTCACAGCAACATCCACCTCCCGGGTTCAAACAATTCTCCTGTCTCAGACTCCTGAGTAGCTGGGATTACAGGTGCCCACCACCATGCCCCACTAATTTTTGTATTTTTAGTAGAGACAGGGTTTCACCATGTTGGGCAGCTGGTCTTAAACTCCTAATCTCAGGGGATCCGCCCACCTTGGCCTCCCAAAGTGCTGAGATTATAGACGTGAGACACTGGGCCCAGCCCCAGGGACAGATCTTTTTGTTCTTGTTCTTCTTGTTCTTTTTCTCCTTCTTCTTTCTCTTATTTGTCCTCCTCCTCCTCTTCTTCCTCCTCTTCATCTTCCTCTTCTCGTGGTAGGTCTAAAATTCCATGACATTCCAGACCACGGAGGAACACAGGTCCCGAGGCAGCCTGGAGTGAGGAAAGGGTCTATCAGTATTATGGGTTGCTATAAAAGGTTATATTTAATCCCATCTTACATGATTCATTATTATGATTAATTGACTACGCAACTAGAGGTGTAGAAGTGTACAGATAATCGGACCACTGGCTGGGAATGTAACCCTCCAGTGCACCATGGATTTTCTGTGAAGTTCAGATTCAGGCTTCATTAGTTTGACTCACGGTTCCTTTCTCTTGAGAGTTTATGAACTGGTTCATAACTGCATTTAGGTACACCTGTTTGTTAGTCTCTCTCAAAGCTTGGCTATTCTAAAGCATCTCCATTTCTGAGCCTGGATCTCCAAGAAGGGACCCCGAAAACTTGGCCAGTGACAGTGGGAATGGCAAAGAGAGCAAGAAGCTTGCTGCTTTGTGATAGCATCGATACTTCTATTTCATAGCCTGGATAGATGTGGGGATACCCTGTGACAGCAATGGATGAGAGGTCTCCAAATCAACATGATCAGTGTCCATAAGAGGGGGACAAAGCTGGGGTAGTGGAACATTTCCCTCCTTCCTGTGACCTTTTCCTTGGGGACAGAATATCTCAGGCTAGTTTTCGGGATAACTCAGACTTTCAATGTCTTACTCCCCCTAGAAAATGGCTAGGTAGAACACAGACCCACTACTGGGATTCAATTCTAGGCACAGTTAGGACATGTACCTGCCTTTTTCCCTCTTCTAGGGAGATTCTCTGTTATCATTTGGTAGAGGTTTGCAAGTGGCATGTGTCAGGGGAAGCCTTGTAATTTACCTCCCACAGTTGATTTTCTATTTACATGTCTTTTTTTTCAGTTAATTTGTTTCAGAGAAATAAAACCAAAGCATCCTGGTGCCAGCCTCAGAGCTGGGTTCCAATCATATGGGTGGCAGAGATGAGGCAGAAGAGGCCTCCTCAGCTCCAGCTAAGATCATGGAGATGGATGGAAGGTCAGAAACACCTATGCTACAGCAGATCTAAAGATAAAGAAACTGTTGCCTCTTTTCTGGAAACTTAGAGACTTTCAGAGACCAGTTAGCAAGCAGCAGCTGGAAAGTGAGACTCCACTGGGGCATTGTGGGGCTGGCAAATCTGTAGATGCGCTGGGCCAGGTCTTTCCCCTTGGCCTTTTTGCTCCTGTTCCTCCTGCAGTCATTAATTCTGCATTCTTTTCAGTGCCATCAGCTATGATGGGTTCAGATATGTCTTTGTCCAACTCCCTCTCAGATGCTGGAGTTGGCTGATTACACTGGGAAGCTGCCATAGAGATGTGGGGCTGTATCTCATTCTAGAGCTTTGGACAGAGTGCAGATGCAGACACTTCATGAGCTTCCTGGCTGGAGAAGTGGAGAAGAAAGGAGCAGTGTGTGGTTTTTGTACTAGTATGACCTGTGACCTGTTGCTCATTTATCCGCGGCATCCAAGGTACAGGTCAGGGTAAAAGGAGGAAGATAATAAAGACAGGGGTAAAGCTGGTGTTCAAGAGAAATGCATCAGGAATGCACTTGGAGGCATTGGTTGTTATGTGACTTATTACCTATCAATTAGTCCCTTAGTGCCTCTGTAAGCTCTGATGCTAAAGGCTGGAGTGTGTGTGTTGGCACTCCTCTGTTTGCAGTAATTGCTAGGTTTCACTGCCTGTCACATAGCAGGCACTTGGTAAATGTTTGAGGCTCTGGAAAGAACAATTCTATAACAAAGCAGCAAGTTTTCTGCTCTCTCTGCCATCCCCACTGTCACTGGCCAAGACCTTGGGGGTTCCTTCTTGGGGATCCAGACTCACAAATGGAGGTTGATTCAATAACTCCCCAGATATAACCAAAAGTAGGTGTTTGGTAGACACTTTGGATTATTGACTCTTTTCAGTGTCTGACAGACTGGGAGCTCCATTCCACTCTCCAACAAGGGCGACACTAATTCCGGAAAACAGTGAGTGGTAGCCTAGGCTCTGCCCTGACCCGCAACACTGGTTTGAACATTTGTTTCTGGTGAAATACTGTGTCTTGAAATTCTCTTCCTTGGATCACCCCACTCTCTCCTTAAGTTACTTTGTGCTCCTTTGTTCTGGATTGCAGCTTCAAAGCCACATTAATGCAGACGTCTGATCAGGACAGCTTTCTGCAGCTTGAGTCTTGGGAGATGAGCCTCTTAAGAAACTATTTTCTTCCTGTGGGCAGCTCCAGCGGGAGAAGTGATGGGAGAGGCAGGCTGAGACTCTTGACTCAAAAGAGGGATTAATTATGAATCTCATCCAGCTGCTCTATCCCTGTCTCAGCCTGTCCCCAATAATTAAGAGCTGACAATACAGCTGTTTTCAATGAGCATTTTCACCTGGGAAATTTAAGGTTCTTTAGAAACATCATCTGAAGATCCATCTTAATACCCTGGTAGCAAAGTGTAATGAACCCCCTGGATGCATGAATGTAAAATCACTTGAGAAAACATTAGAGTAGGACAAATGTGTTACAGTGGAAACAGTGTGAGGTTTAGAGGCAGAAGAGGTCTGATTTTGTGTCCTGGTTCTTCCACTCAGGGGCTGTATCATGTTGAACGAGTAACTGAAACTCTTGGATTCATTTCCTTGGCTGGAAACATGGAGTTAATAAAATACTCATGATTTAGTGAACATCTATTATTAATTAGCTGTAAAATGGGGATAATATAATAGCCATAACTTAGAGAGCTCCTCCTGTGATATGTTACATTTTGTTATCTGTATTTCGCTTTAATCTGCAAAAGATTTGAGCCAAATCTCTCTCTTAAACACACGTGCACATGCACACACACGTGTGTGTGTGTGTACATTTTTAAATTCAAGAGAATAAAATTGAAAAGTCAGGGTAAAAGTAGGAAGGTAATAAACACAGGAGAAAGGTGGGCTGACACTGAGAGATGTGCAGCAGGAATGCATCTGGAGGCATTCATTGACAAGTGTCTTATTCTTGATAATCCCTCTGTCTCCTTGCTTCCCATCTCCCTGTCTCATGCCCCCTGCCCCCAACCCCCAGACCAACCCTCAACCTGGTCACCATCCTTACAAGCAGAAATGCAGACACAGTCAATATTTACATCAGATTTGGCATTACAAAATAGATCTTTGAAACATATAACCAAGACCAACATTTCAGAGAAAAGGCTTGCTTGGGATCAAAAGTTAAAGCCCTGAAGGATGCAGGGCACAAGGTTTCTGGAAAGAACAGATGGGGAGCCTACTGTTCAGCCTGAGCTCTCTCAGGCTGGGGGCAGGAGAAGCTGATGTGGTTATGAAGATCAGACACTGCGCAATTCCCCGGTAAGGCCAGTGGCCATAGCAGAAACTACGAAGAGGGTGTGAATGATGGTAAAAAAGCAACAGAAACAAGAATGCAACAGGAGAGGCTACCTGGACAGCTGATGACCAGGGATATGGATAGATGCAACTCTCACCTTCTGTCTTGGTCTGCTCTGGCTGCTATAACAAAATACTTTAATCTACATAATTTATAAGCCACAAAAATGTATTTCTCACAGTTCTAAAGGTTGAGAAGTCCATAATCCATGTGCCAGCAGCTTTAGTGAGGGCTTATTCTCTGCTCCAAAGAGGTGCCTTCTTGTGTGTTCTCACATGGCAGAAGGCAGAGGGAAAAAAGGGCCAAACAACCTCCCTCGAGCCCTTTTCTAAGGGCATTGATCCCATTCATGACGGTGGAGCTCTCGTGACCTAATCACCTCCTACAGGCCCCACTTCTTAACACTATTTTATTAGGGACTACATTTCAACATAAATTTTGGAGGGACACAGACATTCAGACCACAGCCCCCTCCCTGCTCCAGCACTGTGTGGGCTCCTGAGAACATCAAAGCAACCCCAGTGAGAAAAGACAGTGAGGGAAAATACACCCAATGGGCTGGAAAAATCTGAATTGACTAGAAGCCAATTTGCATGGACAGGCAGAATAGAGGCTTGGAACAGAAAATGAGTTGAATTAGGAAAACTTAAGACAGTTCCATTTTTGCATACCTTCTTGCATGGCCTGAGAAAGTAATCCCTGTTCTTTGTAAGGTGTTTCCACCTGGTTTCTGATGTTGATCTGTGCCAGGATTAGCTAAGGCATCTTCTGTCTGAACCACCATGCCTCTTTGGGTCTATGGAAGCCCTTTCAACTGCATTTGTGGGTGGTGAACAGGAACATTTGAAACCTTCTCCTCTGTTCCTCTGGGACTGCAGAGAACCCAGGGAACTCCCTCAGGCCTTCTTTTTCTGTGGTGGCACCATGTTTCATTACAGCTGTCCTAGCATGCTGGCATGTGGGGTAAGAGAAGCTGCATGGAGAGGTGCCTCCCAGGCTGCACCAAGGTCTCTGCTTCTCTGGCACCCACAATCCTATTGGGAAGGAGAATGGGTATCAGAACCCAGAGTTCCAGGTGAGTGCCAGCTTGCTTCTCTGCCCACATTCCCATCCTCCAGTTCATGGCCAGAACAGGGTAGTGTGAAGCTTCACCAGTTATTCCATATTTATTATTTCTAGCATGCACTTTCTGCCATAATCCCTTTAGGGTTGTGGCATATGATGTTGACGTGCCTGGATGTGAGACTTAAAATGTATTTTCTCATCTATTCCCTCTGCCACGAACCTATTCTGAAGCTTATAAACTGAACCTCGGCTTTTTAAAAAATTTTTTTATTATAACAATGCTTCCCAGAGGTAGGAAATGAAGGCTTCTAGTATGGCTCGAATGGAGAATGAACAAAGACATCCAAAATATTATTTGGCTACAAATGCGTATCATATGATTGCTAGAGAGAAGACGTAGAGTTGAGTCTCAATGATTGCTAGAGAAAAGACATAAAATTGAGTTTAAGCTTCTCGTGGCCAATGTGAAAAGGAAAATCATTTCAGGATTAATAATGTTCAAAGATTGTAAAAAAGTAATTGCTTAGGGTTAGCCTGGCTTTTTCTTATTTGAGATGCATAAAAGTTCTATCAGGGATCTTCATAGAAATATACTGTTATGAAGTTGATTAACATGAGGATATCTTGACAATGGTCATAGCATCAAATTTTACATAGCCACTACTTATCTTCTAAGTGTGTCAATGACATAATGATGTAGTGTAAACCACCAAAATAATTAACAAGTTAAGACAACATTACTCAAGGACTTGACTCTGATAATCTTATTGACCCAAGAGTAAATTTAAGAATAAGTGGAGTACTTTTTCTCAAAATGTAGTCCACAAACATCTGCACCAGTATCTTCTGGTATGCTTTTAAAAATGTAGATTCCTGGTTCCCACCTATGATCAACTGAATTGGATTTTCTGAGGGTAAGAGCCAGGACTCTGTATTTTCAACAAGTGTTCTAGGTGATCCTATGTACAGTAGATGATCTAGAACAGGGATTCGTCACCTTTTATTTTGTGCCACGGACGCTTGACAGTCAGGTGATGCCTATAAACCAGAATAATATTTTTAAATGCAGAGAATCAAATACACATGATTGCAAAGGAAATCAATTATGTTGAAAAACAATGATCAAATTATTAAACAAAAATAAATTTGCGATAAATAATACATGTGCTTCCTCATTAATGCGTTGAATAACAAGATCTAGCAGCAGGTCGAATAAACACGATAGTTTTCAGGAAATGATGAGTATACATGATATTTTGAGATGTCTGGGACCCCTGTAATGTGATATGATATGAAAGTCTGCTATTTTAATTGGTGACAGAGTCTGAGGCACTGCTAATCCTCCTGTCATTTGTCACCTACATTCATAATTAAAGGAAGTTGGCGAAAAATGGAAGATACATTTTTTTCTTCTTTAAGTTCATGGGCCTCTCTCAACCCAGAAACCATAGGTTAAGAATACTTGTGTGGTGGGAAGGGTGGAGTGCATGAGCTTTGGGATGTCTTGCATAAACAGATGTGATGCATGTGCCCACATGCACATCACATATATGATACTTTTGTAACTCTGCCTAAGATAGCTTGAACAGAGGCTATTTAAATTTCTGGTCTCAGTGGGATGAGCATAGCTCGCCACTATTAGTATTTAAAGACAGAGCTGTATGCCTTGGTAATCAATGAGACCAGGAGTAGGTTCAAGGCATATTATGAAAAATAAAGGAGTCTGTTCGAAACATATGACTTGCTTTTTAGACCCAGTACTTTTCACTCTTCATCCATGAGTTCTGATCTATTCCAGAACATGCACACATCGGTGCAAGAGAGCCACGTTCTGTAACATGGACCATCACTGCAATAATCTTGACTTGGAAAGATTTCAAGGCAGGTGTTACCAGGTACTCCCTGACACCACAAAATGCCCAATAAAACTTACCAATGTTTTCCAAAGCGCATTCTGCAAAACATGTGTCTTCAAGAAGATGGTCAATAAAAAGGTGTTTTTTTTGTGTGTGTGGTCAAATAAGTTTGAGAAGTTCTGCATCCTAAATAGCTCCTCTTGGTAATTCACAGCATATTAGCAGTGCTAAAAAATGTACAGGCAAGGAGACCTGCTTCATTTTGTGTGGCTCAGTAGTTTTCTACCCTCACTGTGCATCAGAATGTCCCGGTGAGCCTTAAATAAATACTTAAAAGAGGCCAGGTGCAGTGGCTCATGCCTGTAATCCCAGCATTCTGGGAGGCCGAGGTGGGTGGATCACCTGAGGTCAGGAGTTCAAGACCAGCCTGACCAACATGGCAAAACCGTGTCTCTACTAAAAATACAAAAATTAGCCAGATGTGGTGGTGGGCATCTGTATTCCCAGTTACTCAGGAGGCTGAGGCAGGAGAATCGCTTGAACCTGGGAGGTAGAGGTTGCAGTGAGCCGAGATTGTGCTATTGCACTCCAGCCTGGGCAATAAGAGCAAAACTCCGTCTCAAAAAACAAAAAAAAACAAAAACAAAAACTTAAGAGATATCCACCCCTCAGAGATCCTGATTGATCTGGTCTGGGGTGGAGCATCAGGTTTTTTCTCAGGTTCTTTGGGTTCAGGGCAGTGGTGAACTCATCATTTGTAAAGCTTACTTTGCCATTGACCTTGCTTGAGGTTCCCAGGGTTGCTGTAACCAAGTACCACAAACTGGGTGGCTGAAAACAACAGAAATGCCTTGTCTGCCAGTTCTGGAGCCCGGAAGTCCAGGATCAAGGTGTTGGCAGGGCGAGTCTCTCTCTAAGGCTCTAGGGGAGTGCCTGCTCCAGGATTCTCTCCTGGCTTCTGGTGGCCGGCAATTCCTGTCATTCTGAGGCTTGCAGCTGCATCACTTTGTTCTCTGCCTTTGCTGTCACAGGGCGTTCCCCTGTGTCTCTCTCACCTCTTCTTATAAGGACACCAGTCCTATTAGGTTAAGCTCTCACCCTACTCCATCCACAATGACCTCCTCTTAACTTTATTACATCTGCAAAGGCCTTTTTTTTTTTTTGAGACATTCTCACTCTGTCGCCCAGGCTGGAGTGCAGTGGTGTGATCTTGGCTCACTGCAAATTTTGCCTCCCAGGTTCAAGTGATTCTCTTACCTCAGCCTCCTGAGTAGCTGGGATTAGAGGTGTGTGCCACCACACCTGGCTAATTTGTGTGTGTGTGTGTGTGTGTGTGTGTGTGTTTAATAGAGATGGAGTTTCGCCATGTTGGCCAGGCTGGTCTTGAACTCCTGGCCTCAAGTGTTTCTCCCACCTCAGCCTCTTAAAGTGCTGGGATTACAGGCATGGGCCACCACACCTGGCCGAAAGGCTCTATTTTCTAATAAGTTTACATTCAAGAGTACTTGAGAAAGCAAGGGTAGGACTTCACTGTATCTTTCCGGGGAACACAAGTCAACCTCTAGCAAACCTCCTTTGCAAAGAATTCTTGGAACACGCTTTGGGAAATGCTGCCCACTAGAATTTTAAATTTTGAGCAGGGTAGCTTCCTGGTAAAATCACCCAGTTGAATTATTTACACATTCTATTCCCTGGTAACTGAACCTTTTGAATTGCAGTAAAGAATCACTGAGGCAACAAAATGCTGAAGGTTGTTTTTCTGTAAAGATGATTTTGGTTTTAGAGGGGTTGATCTAAAGCCATTCTTTCTGACCCAAACGAGCTTGCCAGACAGATTGTCTGTTGCGACCACGCCCACTCTGGGTAATAAACAGCTATCATCAGCAGAGAGGTGGATACTTACCTATCTCTTCTTGTCAGTAGGCAGGCCTGCACGCCAACGCAGCCAGGAGTGGTAACAAGCCATTCAGGTACTTGTTCAAAAGAACAAGGCCCAAAATACATCTCTGTCTCACAGCCCTCGAAACCATTGCCTAAGCTTCGAGGAGGTGAATCCTATCTCCTGGATCTCCAAGTAGTAATTAAATGGAGGTTTTTAATAGTCTGGGAGGCAGAGTGACCCCGTGGAAAGACAGAACTAGGACTGAAACCTAGGCTCTGACTCTCACGCCTGTGCTTTTTTCATCTTTCCTCTGTATTTTTCTGAAAATAATAATGATACTTACCTTACAAGATTGCTATGAGGGTTAAATGAGATGCTGCGGGTCAAAGTGCTTTTAAATTATAAATTCAGAAAAAAAAACAGGATCATTACAGAAGATGATGGAATCAGCTTTAATGTTAGGATGATGATGATTATTATTAAGGAGCATAAAACTGATCATTGGCATTAGCTCTGGACAGCATTATGAAGTCAAGTTCGTGGCTGACCGCCTGCACACTTCCCTTTCCACAGCATCTCTCTCCTTAAATCTTACCTGCCCTTGTTAAATCTGGCTCTGTGGTTGACCTGCTGATGTGAGTTTGTGTGGTTCTGGCTGTATAAAATGGAGCTGCTGATTTGAACAGCCCTGTTATTAGGGTCAGAGAAGGGCTCTGGTTAGAAAACAGGAGGAAGCAGCTCCTTCCTGTAATCAGAAGACACAGCTTTTGGCAGGGGCTACAGAGAGGCAGAGGCACATGGAAGATGCCCTGCTTGCCCTTGAAGAGAACTTTCTTAGAATTCCTGCCCCTGAGAATCATTCTGGATCCTGGGAGGATAGGCTGTCTTGCCTCAGAGAGGCTGAGGTCTTGCCTCAAGAAGCAGGTTCCTTCCAAACCAAGTTAGGAAGCCTGGAGCCCTGGAAGTATAGCAGGAAATAAAGATAGCAAGGGCTGGGCGCGGTGGCTGATGCCTGTAATTCCAGCACTTTGGGAGGCCGAGGCGGGCGGATCATGAGGTCAAGAGATCAAAACCATCCTGGCCAACATGGTGAAACCCCGTCTCTACTAAAAGTACAAAAGTTAGATGGGCACATGCCTATAGTCCCAGGTACTCGGGAGGCTGAGGCAGGAGGACCGCTTGAACCCTGGAGGAGGAGGTTGCAGTGAGCCAAGGTTGTGCCGTTGTACTCCAGCTTGGCAACAGAGCGAGACTCCATCAGAAAAAAAAAAAAAAAAAAAAAAAAAGCAGCAAGGGCCAGCCATCATAGTAGCACAGGAGCTCTTAGTGGTAGATAGCCACTGGAGGGTGTGACAAACAAAGAGAGAAAAGTGCTGTTGTAAAAAACCCAAAAACATCTAAAAGGCAGCCCTTGGCCCAAATGTCTCCTCCACCGGCCTACTCCAGAGTCTGAATTTCCATCACTAGGAGTCCTCGTGGGTGCTAGAATTTCCCTGCTAAAATGAAAATATCCCTGGAAGTGGGTGTTTGGGTGGGTCAGGTCTTAACTCTCTCTCAATCAATAATATTTGGAGATAGATTTATTTACTGGCTCAAGAGCCTTGGGAACCTTACAACTAGGTTGCAAGCCCCACAGTACCTATCCTAGTGCAGTCTCCAGAGCAGGTCCCTGGTAAATGTTTGTGGGGTCATACGTGGATTAAAGGAGATACAGACCTACTGTGCTATGAGGAAGAGGAAAGACCTATATGCTATGAGGGATGGTATCAGTGTAGGGAGTGCTACTTGGGGCCTCTAAGATTTGGGAAAAGAGAGATTCAAGAAGCTACAAAGAGAGGGCAGTGTGGCATAAAGGATTTGAAGACAGAATGATTTGGGTTTGTGTTCTAATTCTGCCACTTACTATCTGATCACATGGAGGTCATGCAACCTCTCTGAGCCTTGGTTTTGTCAACTGTAAAATGGGGATACTGATATCTCATAGGACTGCTGTGAAAAATATGTAGATGAGATGGCAGGTAATTTCTTTATCAACGGTGAAAAGACAGACTTACTATTATTATTATATAGGGCAGAACATGCTCAGTACTATTACAAGTAGTATTTGCCTTGAAGGGACACACGACACCATTGACTAGCTCTTGTGTCTGGGAGGAGTGTAGACATGTCTCACGGGAAATGTTAGTATACTGTAGTAGCGCACCGCACAATGCGGAATCTGTTTCACCTTAGAGTTCAAGAAGTGGGTTCCTGCCAAACCAAGTTAAAAATTCCCTTATCATGTGGATGCTGAAGAGAGAAGGGAGCTGTTAGAAGCCCAGACAGAGATCTCTGGTTAAAGAGACAGAGAGTTACAGCATCAAATGGCCATTCCCATCTCAGTAAAGCAGGCAGCTGGCAAATTTGCAGGGAACACTGGGAAAAGCTAAGCCTGGGGAGAAAATCGGATGAAGATTGAGGACTAAGGGAAAGTACTGAGGTCAGTACCAAGCTGTTGGGTCACAGCCTCAAGGGCCCTGAGGAAAAAGGGGCCCACCTGACTCTGAGGACAGCTTTGCACAAGCAGAAGAGAATCTTGAGAGGGCAGGGATCTTCCCACTGGTGCCATTGCTCAAGGTTATTCTAGCCGCACAGGGTGGAGAAGCTGAGACAGATATCAGAATTTCTCTATGGCCATATAATTCTCTCTAGACCATTATATGCTATAAATGAAACTGGTTGTCCCTCCGACTTTGTATGAATTCTCTTTTGACCAATCTATTTGTCATTTTGATAAAATCCTAAGGAAAAGACCTGCATATACATACATACATACATGTGTATGTATGTGTGTATATATATATATATGTATTATGTGTACATGTATATGTGTGTGTGTGTGTATGTATATATACACACACACACACACACACACACACACATACACACACACATATATATAGTTCTATGTGAATCTTACCGGGTTGGAGGCTACTGACAATCAAAGTTAAGATTCTGGTTCCTCTGAAAAGGGCCAGGCCAGGTAAGGAGCTTCCAGTAAAGAATGTCATCATAAACAACTCAATTCTGTGTTGGGGAGCCACTTATCACATGATAATGGAAACACAAAGGGCTAGAAACACACAATGAAGGATATATTGGCTTCAATTGGGAAACTAAGGCAAGCTCCAGGGAGGATGTGGAGCTTGCAACGGGTCTTAATAAAAGGCTGGGATATTGACATAGGGGCTGAGCTCAGGTCAAGAGCATGGAGTGGATTCCAGGGAAGATCGAGTAGAAGGTGGTTTCAGTTTGGGGACAGGGACTTACGTGACATACAGGTAGGATCAGGGTGACAACAAAAGGGTAGAAAGAAAAAGTGGGAGGGCTTGGGGACATCTGCCTTGTTGATGATTCTACAGGGCATGAGCAGAGGCTGAGGTCTTACTTCAGAGAGTCACAGGACTTCTCAGCAGGGAAGGGTGGATGGATGGAGCCAGGTCTTTGTGGACGGAAATGCGAAGACTTCCTGACTCGGTCAGGATTCTTGGATAGGATACAGAGATGTCCCTTACCCCTCGACGAACTTACACATTCCCTCTGAGTTCATCTTCACAGGACTTTCCTGCTCTGCTAAACAAAACAAAACAAAACAAAACAAAACAACAACGACAACAACAAAAGCAGAGTTTGCCATTTTTCTGGATTTGCCAGAGGGAGCTCTTGAAACTGTCACTGCAGATTATTTTTATTGCTGCTAAGCAGGTTGAGGAGAGTTGAAGGCATCCTGAACAGTGCGTGTGGAAGAGCTCAGTGCTGGAGGTTTCAGAAGCTCAGGACTCTCATCCTTCAGATGTCACTCACTGCGGTGTGACTATTTTACCTCTCTGTGTCCTCACCTGGAAGGAGAGAAGATTGCACAGGGTGGTCAGAAGAGCCCTTCGAGTTCTGGAGTCTGAGTGTCTGTATCCTCTCTACCAGGTGATGAGGGTGACCATGACTGCCCTAAACTGCATGACAAAGGCTGACTGATCTGCCTTGTGTATACACAGACAGAGTTTTGCTCCTAGAGCTAGTCTAGCATGAAAACAAACAAACAAACAAGCAGCTTGTTTTTAAAAACCTAGATCGCTTGATTTAACTTGGCTCTGGGTCTGCAAGTTAATGTTTTAGGAAGGAAAAGCTCCCCAAACCCCAGGAAAAAAGAGCTGCTGCAAAGATGGAGAAACACCACGTAGAAAGAGCGAGGAGAGAAAGACTTCGTTGGTATCTTTAGTCTTTGAAAATTAGAGGTCATCCTGCCTTGTCAGTGTGACCTGTGGGTTCCTGCATTCTGGGCGAGTTGAGTCGAAAAGAGTATGAGTCAGCCCCTCTGCTTTGCATTTTCCCAATGAAAATTTCCCTCAAAGAAATTCTAGTAGCGGAAATGATTGCGTAATTGCCACCTTGATCTGTTGTTGCAATGTTTTCCAGCTGCTATAACTATTTATTTCCCCTTCAGTACCTGTTTACTTTCCAGGAGGAAAGGGTGAGCCATAAAAAGGGTGGCTGAAGAAAGGTCATTTCCAGGAGCGAGAGCAATGCAGATTGCAATGAGGTGGCCCCTTGGTGGTCCTGCGAAGGACGGACAGGGTACTCAATATTTGCCTGTGCTGGGTTGATGACTCCACTAATCAGCCCATCTCTCTGCCCCTGGTAAGGACTAGCCATGGACTTTGCTCCCTGCCCTTTTCCCCACAGCCAGGATTGTTAACTGTAATGACCATGTCAAATGTCCATGAAAAAAATCTCTCTTCCTGGCATCCCCCAGTGGTTGTGTGACAAGTCCAGGTTACCTTGAAAGGAATGCAGAGGAGGAAAATCTATCTATCTATCAAGATGTGAGTCACCCATGTGATGTCATCTGAATCTCAACCTGATCCCATTAATTTTGACTATGTAAGCACATAAAATACCCGAAGAAAATAAAACACATGCAGCTATGAAAGACACGCGTGCTGCCACGGACATACACACGGACACCCACGCACCGACACACTGACATACACGCATTCACTGGCCTAATCTGCCCAGGCAGCAGGCAAGAGGTCCTATTATGAGTGGAACAAGTGCATGTGGAGAGGGATGGCTTTTTTTGGCAACGTTAATGAGGGTGACCTTCAGGTAGGGATGCACAGGCTGCATAGAACGGAAGGAAACACGAGACCTTGGCATCCCTCTCACTCGAAGGCATGGCAGGGTTTACACAATTAGGCTTAATTATGTCCTGCTCTGCTTTCAGTGAGTGTGTTCCTTGCAGGTGGAGTCTGGCTTTCCCTCCCCATGCATTCCCCAGGCTCTTTTCCTGATGCTGGAAACCCGACTAGCCTCTAGCTATGGTTTTCAGAAGCCAGGCGCGGAGGCCACCATGACTGTTGAAGGCCTGCCTCTCTGGCATTACCTGGGTCCTCTCTCTACCTAGAGAAGGCGAGTTGCTGATCACTGCCCAGTGGGTTTTTATGGGGCGTCTTTTTGATTGTGAGCACAGGTCTGTCAACAGAAGCCACTGGGGCAGTGGGCACTGTGGTCGTAACAGCACAGGGCTGAAGCCAGGAGATGCGCATGAGTCCCAGTGCTTCTCTGATCCTCAGTTTCTTCCACTAATAATGACAATTAAAAAAGCTACCCAGCCTACAGAGCAGCCACATATGCTGTACAGGCTGGGCACTGCGCAACTCAAGCATGTCTTGTGACTGATGGCAGGGGGCTGGAGCTGTGCAGAACAGTGGCCCGGCCTGCCTGCTTCCAAGTTGATGGGGTCACACAAGATCAGTGATTATTTACTGTCTGCTTCTCTTTGCTTCTGCTGATTTTCCTAGAATGTGACCTTTCACCTGCCTGGCTCAGGGTATATGCCCATCAGCTCCCTCTCTAGCGAAATCCTGCATCTCGCTCCTCCTGGTCAACCTTGCCTTCTTGATACCTGAGACCTGCAGTTTCCAAGCACAACAGAGAGGTGGAGAAATTTCCAGTATTTGTGGCTTTTCTGGAGCAACAGGGCTTATCTGGAAAATTCACACCTTAAGGAAGGACCTGAAGGAGGCAGCTTACTGCATGGAGAGGAGAACTGGATTCCAGGGTGGGAAGATCAAGCAGGTCACAGGACAAATAAGGACCCTGCACACATCTGCCCACTCAACGGATGGGTCGAGGGTTACGCTCCTAATGCCTGCCATTATCTGTGGTTAACCAGGCCTGGGACACAGAACAAATGAGATTCTGAACTCTCCTTTTAAGCAGGAGTTTTCACCTCCCCCTCAGTCACTCTTAGGCTTCTCCCTTTTCATCCTTCCCCCGCTATTAACACAAGTGGTGAACATCTGGGTTTGCCTTGGCTTGTGTGGAAGGGGCCAACCAGAGCAGGAAGCCACAGAACCCAGGCCAGGAAGAGTGAAGTGAGCTATTACCCTCGAGAGTGAGCCCAGAGGGGACACCTGGCTGCTTAGGAATTGGAAACGAGCACTGTAGGAAAAGGAAAAGATTCTGGGGACCTTCAGCCTTGAAGAGCTTCCTCACGGAGGAGAAACCACGCTTTTCCACCAAGCTGTGCAACAAAATTACCCCAGGGCTTTAGAAAAATATGGATTCCTAGAACCTATCCCCAGAAAATCTGATTCAACACATCTGGAGCAGAGCACTGGGAATGGATGTTTAAAAAAAATAAGCATGTAACTTTAGAATAATTTTAGATTTGCAAAAGCGTTGCCAAGACAATTTGTATTTTAGCCCTTTTTAAGTTGTGAAATATAAAGCACATATAGGTAAGTGCTCAGAACAAAGAATGGCTTGATGATTTATCACTAAGTGAACACCTGTGTCATGTCTACACATCCACAAAATAGGACACTGCCAGGGTCCAGGAGCTCCCCTCAGACCCTCTGTGTTCCTTCCCATCCAAAGTTTACCTCTGAAGCAGGCATTCCCAAACGCTGGCGTTTAATTTTTCATCCCTAAACATTTAATTTCATTTGATCTATTTTTGAACTTTATATAAATGTAGTCATAAAAAGTAGGCATTTTGGGAGGGTCTGGCTTCTTTCACTGAATGAGTTTCATTCATGTTACTCTGTATAGTCTGTTCTTTTTCACTGTTCCACCCTTACACAGTGCTAGCCAATACAGTAGTCACTAGCCACATGTGGCTATTTAAATTAAAATTAATTAAAATAAACAATTCAGTTTCTCTCTTGCACGAGCCGTATTTCAAGTGCTCAGTGGCCTCATGTGATGAATGGGTGCCATCTTGGACAGTGCAGAACGGAAAATTTCCATTATCATATGAAGTTCTTTTGGACAGCTCTGCTCTAGGATGTGCAATTTTATGAATATATCAAAATTTACCCATTTTACTGTTGACAGACATTGTGATTCCTTCCAGTTTTTGACTATTGTGACTGACACTGCTGAGAATGTTTTTGTACTGGCCTCTTGGTGCACACGTGCAAGTATTTATGTTGAGTGTATGCCTTGGAGTAAATTGTAGGGTCATAGGAGTGCATATGTTCAGCTTTAGCAGATAATGCCACACTGTTTTCTTAAGTGGCATACTAATTTGTACTTCCACAAGAATCTCTTTTCAAAAGCATCCCAGGTAATTTTGAAGATTCATCAAGTTTGGGATAATGGCTTGATTTTTTAAGGGATTTGATTTTATCTTTATATAAGAAGGAGGGTTCTAATGATCGGATTGTTTAGCAGTAGAATGGACCCTCATGAGAAATACCTCATCTGGTGGTGAGTGTCCTGTCTTTAGAGGTATTCAAGTTGATGCTGCACAACTTTCTGAAACAGCAGCTTTAAAAGGAACTCCTGGACTTAGTAGGAAGCCTTCCTAAGTGATGTATCAAATCCTTTCCAACTGTAAGAGTCTCTGATTTCATCCCTTTTCATGGCTACGTTTGGATGGATGCATGCTGGATAGTAAAATTCCTCATAGTTAGGCAGCAGAAGAGAGAAAGGGCTGATGCCAGAGGCCAAGATTAATCACAAATTGAATCCTTAGTCCCTGAATAATTGAGTTAGTTGTCCCAATGATCAATGAATCACCTCATGCTCACTCTCAACCTACTGTTTCTACTTGAGCTCTTGGGATAATGGGAATCATGACTTCTTCAATGTCACCCTTTGCAGACATTTATAGGTCCTCCTTATTTCTATTTTAATGGCTTTATTGGATATGTGCCTATTATTGTAATGGTCTCAAATCATTTCTGGAAACAGGTGTGGCATAAGTCATAATACTGTAAAAATGCCCTCCTCCACCATTGCCGGGCAGTATATCTTCATCTGTCTCCATGCTATCTCTCTCCACCTGTTCTTCTGGCCTCCTCCCTGCTGGAATTCCCTTCTACCTTGTGGGGTTTGGAAATGCAGGGATTATTCTAGGTCACAAGAGTAATAATCCTCCTGCCAAGGCACTCAAAAGGCTGCCCTTGAGGATAGAATGGCTTCCTTTTAACTCCCTTGAAGACTGAATGTTTCTTATAAGAATGCTGTTAGGGGATTTGGGAAAAGGTCTTAAATCTCACTGGGTATATTGGAGTGATGAGATTTCAAAGGGAAAATGAGAAGTGGGCAGATCTAATAACCCGAGCCTATGCTGGGCCCGTGCTCAGCAACTAGCTATGCTCCATGACAGAGCCTTCAGCAGAGTCCTGCTCTGGGTCTCCAGGGAGTTCACAGATGAACTTGTTGGTAATTTTCAGGTAAAAACCACCCAACCAGATCTCAAACAACCTGTGGGTGTAGCTACAACTGGGCCAACATAGAGGTGAGATTGTGGTGCTGCTGGTGGTGGCAGATCTTACTCCAGCTCTAGATTGGAAGTCAGGGTTGAGTTAGGCTTTGTCCATATAATTTTATGGATGGAAGGGTCCAATTGAGGCAGCAGAAATAACTCCAGAGAAATAGCACTGGGGCTTCCAAGGGAGGCCTGGAGCTCATCCTTAATGCCATTGGTTTTATCCTTAGAAGGATACAGAGAGAAGTTTGGAGAAGAAACTTGAGAAGTTGGCAAGATCAGACCTAGTACCCATGTAGTTTTCTCTCTGTGGTTTTAGCCTGTCACCCCACTTTTTTGGTCCTTGGTTTCCTTGAAACTTCAGAAACAAAGACAATCAAAGGAGTCTGTCTGAAGAACGACGTCAGTCCCAGGAGACATGCTCGGCTTAATTAGCTGGTACCCACAGGATGTTCTGAAAATGAGAAATGGCCAGGATTATTATCTATCAAATGTCAAATACAAATGCGCTCATGTTCCCATTATGGATGTGTGTGTTGCAAACTTGCTGAACCGAGTGTGACCCGTTGGGTGGTTTTAATTACAAATATCAATAAAATTGGTTGATATTTATGGGCACAGACCCTTCAGATCAGGGCGAAGGAAGCTAATTGCGTAAGACAGTGCCGTGATTGAACTCCAAGGGAGGCGTGGACTCCTGTTAGCTGGGTGCGAAGCTGAGACAGCTCCAGTCTCCCTGTGTTAATTAAATGTGATGAAATGAATATTAACTTGTAAAAAGAGTCAGAGACTTGGACTGGGTTTACTTGGTGGGTGGGGCTGAGGCTAGGGATGGGGGTTGTGGTTGATGAGACTCAAGGGCTATTGTCTTAGAGAGAAGCAAACATTAGCACAGAGTTTCCCAACCTTGGCTGCAAATAGAATCACCCAAGGGGCTTCTGTAGCTTACCAGTTCCTGCACTGCACTACCAGCAATTTGCCTGGGGTGGGACTTTCCCACGTTATTCTAATAACCAGCCAGGACTGAGAATCATTGATGTAGTGAAAACAATTCATGTTTTGGAGTCAGACAAATGAGACTTTGAACTAGCTGCGTGTCCTTGAGCTTCAGAGATTTTTTTTTTTTGTCTGTAAAAATGAGGTTAATCAAAGCTGCATGGTGCGTCTGTGATGTTAAAATGAGATCATGTGGGTGACGGGGCTTGGTATCTAGTCAGGGCTCAGAAAAAGTTAGATTCCCTTTTTTCCTTAGATGTGAGTGCCTGTGGGCCTGAGAATCTGGAAGACTGCAGGGGTCTGGTGGTTTAAGCCAAAGTGAATTCTTCTCTGAGCACTGATAGGATTGCCCATAAGAAGAAATCATCTCTTCAGCCTTCTCATCCTCCACAGGAACAGAAGGACACGTCCCAAGTGGCGAGCTGTGCAAGGCCACAGACACAGTGAGTGGGCTAGGAGGGGCGGGGCTGAGGGTGGAGGTCCTGACCGCTTGATTTCCAACCACACCTCGGTTCACTCCACTCGGGAGAAACTTGCCATTTCTGTCCCACTGTGAGGAGCCTTGTCGCTTTTGCTCATTTCCTAGGGCACCTGAGCCACAGTTTCTTGGGAGACATGATGTCCCTAGAAGCAGGGAACAGTGGTGTGACATGGAGCTTTTTTAATTTTTTTTTTCTGGAGATGGAGTCTCACTCTGTCGCCCAGGCTGGAGTGCAGTGGTGTAATCTTGGCTCACTGCAACCTCTGCCTCCTGAGTTCAAGAGATTCTACTGTATCAGCCTCCTGAGTAGCTGGGATTATAGGCATGCACCACCATGCCTGGCTAATTTTTGTATTTTTAGTAGAGAAGGGGTTTCACCATGTTGGCCAGGCTGGTCTCAAACTCCTGACCTTAGGTGATCCACCTGCCTTGGCCTCCCAAAGTGCTGGGATTACAGGTGTGAGCCACCGTGCCTGGCCAACATGGAGCTTTTAACTCGCTTTCTTGAATCTTCTTACCGTAACAGTCAAGGTCTTCCTGGTTTCACCCAACCTCTTTATGTGTCCAATCTTCCCTTCTTGAAACCCACACAATGCAGCTACACTGGGGTACTCCAAACCCCGCAACAGGCCCCCTCCTTCCTTCTCTGAGCATCTACTCGTGTTGTTTTTTCCCCCTTTCCTATGACATCTGTAACTCACCACCTCCAGAAAGCCAAAAAAACAATGCTTCCCTCTGTATGAATCCTTTTTTGAAATGCCTTCCTGTGGAGAAATGATGATGGTAGTGTGTATATCTTGCAGGGTGCAGGCCACACAGCCGTGTTTTGTTATTTAATGGTATCTCTGTCTCATCCCCATTACTGGACCACCAATGAGGCAGGTGTAGTGGAAAGAATTAGGACTTTGGCATCAGGGCACACCTGGGTCTGAATTTCATCCCTGTCACTTATTAGCTTTGCAATCCTAGGAGAATCATTTAGATTCTCTAAGCCTCTGTTTACTCATTAATTAAAATGAAGAAATAATTCCTATTTCTCAGGGCTGATGTGAGGATTAGTTTGATACATATTTATGAAAGACTCTGGCAAAGAAATGTTTTCATAGATGCCTGTAAAATGATTAAATGAATTGATATAAACTATATGGCATGATGTTTGAAAAAATTGCTCTCACTTTCCTCATCGTTAAAACTCGCATTTTGGGAGTGGTGATGGTGAGGAATATATGGATTCTTTTCCAGATGTTCAAATCACAAGATATGGGTCTAGGAAACCAAACTAAACTTTCAGTGGCTACTACAAAGCCTGCACCATTGTCTTTTCACATGACATCCTTAATACAACCCCATGTGGTGGGGATTATTTTTTCGGAAAGACAGGATTCTAATCTTGGCTTTGCCAGTTACTGATGGGCTTTGGCAAAATGGTTTGCCTGCTCTGAACCTTAGTTTGCTAATGTATGTAATGGGCAAGGATTCCACTCACACATGACTTCTATCCTCAGTAGAACGAATGCAAAGTTCATATGATAGCGCCTGGCATGTGGTTCGCACTCTACATAGGACAGTTCTATGGCCATCCTTATGACAATATTTGTACAATGAATAGTGTGTTAGCATCACGCATGGTTTGTGGCTAGCATGAGCAGTATTGTTATTTCAACCGTAGTAATTCTGTGCCACTTCCAGCCATCTTCCTGCTATATAACCCTGCCCTGGGCAGCCTGTCTTAACCCCAAGATTGCAGCATCACTGAGCAGGACCTTGTCATGGGCATCCATATTGCATCTGTTCAGAATTCTTCGAATTTGCCACGAGGAAAGCTCTGTCCACCCCTGTGTTTTGCAGAATCGGGCCTCACTCCCCTCTGGCAAATCCCCATCCGACTCTATATCCCTTATCAACCTGCTGATCACCTCTCATTTGTCATCTTTATTAGCTTTTAATCTCCCATCAGTTTAGTGCTGGAGTTTAAGAGTAGGATTAGAGGGGGGAATTTAATTGGATGATCCTCCATGGCCCCTTGAACATCAGATTCAATAAAAGTTTATGAAAAGATAAAATCGCAAAGGGTTTTATAGCCCCGGACAGAGCAAGAGACCGGTGCGAGAACAAGGTAACTGTTTTTCAACCCATATAATCCGTGTTTCAACTTGATTAAATGAGGAAGTTAGTTTTCCATCTCTCTCTCTCTTCCTCCCTCTCTTTCCATGGGCAACATTATCCTTTTCCTCCTGGCGTAAGCAAGAAGCCACTTTCTGCCAGGCGCCTCTCCCCTCTTGCTTTGATTTTCCCTGACAGGAAGACTAATGAAACCTGGGTGCACCAGAAAATAACATTTATTTCATGCAGAAATATGCTGAACCACAACTGAAGGTGGCTGAGGTGATCATTTGATGGGAGAGAGACTGGTTTTCAAGAGGGGAAATTGTGGTTCATGAAGATGAAGGGAGGAAAAGTGTTCCTCCCCGTGAAGTCCCTCCTATCTCAAACCCATCTTTCCCCAGACTTCCGCTCTCTGCTTAGACCATTTCGCTTCTGGTTCAGGCAACCAGAGCGTAAGGGGTGGGCTGGCATGTGGAGTCATGTGTGAATTCGTTCATTGATTAATTCAACAAATATTTTTTGCATGCATTTTACATGCCAGCCACTGTGCTACACAGGGAGGATAGAAAGGTGAATAAGACCTCACTGTGCTCTCAAGAGGGCAGAGTCTGTGGGGGAGATGGACAGTGTGAGAGGAAATTTTTTTTTTATTTTTACAGCCACCACTTTGATCTAAGGAAGTGATGACCTTTGGTGGGTTTTTTTTTTTTTTTTTTTTTTTTTTTTTTTTGTATTGATGTGATTCTACAGTGAGTTTGGCTGTCAGACCTAGGATGAGGAAGTGATCTGCACAATGAGAAGTGAAGAATTTGGGGCTCTTGGTGGAAATCTCGGTGGGTGTGAGGGGGATGGGAACAAGAAAAGGGAGAAGGTGGGGAGAGGGTAGAAATGGAAGCCAATGAATGAGTGTTAATCTTTGGGTTGAAGATTCTGGGGTGAAGATGTAATAAAACGTTCCAGGTGTGGATAACTGAAAGACGTTTAAAGAATAATCCACAATACTCATCGGTGCTTTGTGTGAATATTTATTTATTTACATGCAGTCTTTCACTTAGGGCAATAAAGGTAAAAAGCCCAGAATCATTGGTGACTAGGAGAATGCAGCTTCCCAGGAAGTCATAAAAATCCAAAAGTGGGCTTGAGATTTCCACTGGCCAAGAACTGGGGCCCAAGCCAATCTTAAAGGGACTCAGGTGACCCCAGAAGATGTGTAATTTACATAACTCGTATTGAATACCAGATGCAATAATGACAGTGGTACTAGGTAAAACCGGAGCTCGAAGGAGGGAGTGATTAGTCCACTTGGGGAAGGGAGGTGTGGATGGGCATCAGATAAGACTGCATAGAGGGGGCTGAGCTTGAGTTGGGCCTTGAAGGATGGGCAAGTGTTTGCTTGATGGATGGAATGGAAATAGAGGTGGGGCACAGGGCCCCTCAAGAAGAGGAGGTATACAGCAAGATAGCTTGGAGGCCAGGGAGCCAGAGGGATGTGAGGGGGGATATGAGAGGCTGTAGATACCAGCATCTGGGAAGGGGATGGTGGTGTAGTCACGGTGGCGTGGGTCACGAAAGACCTCTGATGTCAAGTAAAGGAGCTTGGATGTTGGTTGTTGGTGGAGGACTGCTGAATAATTTTGCTTATAGTAGGATGGAGTAACATTTCATTTCAGGGTAAGCCCCCTGGCTCAGTGTGGAGGATGACTGAGGGAGAGGGTGACACTGGAGTCAGGGGGACATATCTAGGGACAATGGCCCAGGGGAGACACAATGGAGGCCTGAACAGAGGTGGTCATAGAGTGGACTGGAGGGAATGGGCTGCAGGAGTGCTTTGAACAGAAAACAGAAAAGCTTTGTCACTGGTGGAACGTGGGGGCAGGGGATGGAGGAAGAAGTGTATCACTCCAGGCCTGTGGACGGGGTGCCTGGTGCTGACTTGTGTGTTCTCTGGGAGAGGGGATTCAGGGGCATGTTTAGATATTTGCAGAAATGCCTCAGTTGTGGATGTGTTGAGATTTAGGTGTCTGTGGGAAGATATGCTTGAAGCCACGTGAGTGAATGAGATGGTCCCGAGAGAAGGTATTGGGTAGTAAAAAGAAAGGAGAGAGGAGGGTAGGAAAGGAAGGGAAAGGGAAAGGAAACATGACCCATGGTTTTCCGGCATCTTTGAATGTTCTAGGACCCTATCTGCTTCCACCCGCCTGTGGATGGGGATGTTTAAGAGGTCTTGTGGATGGAAATGGAGAATGACTTCACATGTTGGCAGACATGTGGGGCATGGGGTAGGGGTCTGTGTGCCCTGCTCCTGATGGCTGGGCAGGGCAGGGTGCCCCTCCCAAGCCAAGCCCACTGTGCCACCATGTGGTTCCAAGTGAGAGTAATTTGGTTTGGGAGCCAGATGTTTGACTGGACCTTTTAGAGAAGGGGTGGATCCAGGCTTTATGGAGCTTCAAACTTGCATGATCTTTGAAGGAAAAAAAAATACGTTGTGCATATGAAATTGGATACTGGACTTGGAAGGGGTAGTGAGGATCTCTGAAGCTTAAGTTTCACTAGTTTTATGATAAATTCCCTTTTGTTTGGGAGACTTCCAGAAAGCTTAGGAAAGGCATGTGTGTACTTAGTGTGTGAGTGTGTGAGTATGTGTATGTGTATACTTCATAAATGCTGCTGACTTTTTGAACTCATCGGGAGGATGAGCTAGGATAAGTGAGAATGCAGGCCTGGTACTTCCTAAATCTCATGCTACCTAGCACGGAGCTCACAAAAATACGAGTCCTAAGAGCGTGCGTTGGGCACGTGGCCTGGGTGTCAGCTGGAACATCCAGCCTTTAAGGTCTAGGAGAGGTTGACATGAACTCCATGCCATGGAGGTCCATATTTTGGGGAGAGCCCGATGCTTTCCTCTGTAAGCTCCAGAAGGACTTACGTCTTCATGAACCCTTTCACTTCTGAGCTTGTGCTGCCACCAAATTAGTTACAGATCTTCTCACTGTCTCTGTTGCATTCTGCGTTGACTCAGATGTGGAACTCATCCTCCTGCTATGATTTATAAACACACTCCTTCACTCATACCCACAAGGTCTTTATGTATGAGGCAGACTTCACTGAATAAAGGATGGATATATTAAGTAACACAAACAATTAGCATTGCATATGAGCGATTGTGAATGCTTATTCCTTCTGCCATTGCTCTAGACCTTCCCCTCTTCTTTCCTTCTCTACTTTCTCCTCTTCTATTCCTAACTCTTGTTCCTTGCAGCTTAGTGACCCCTTTAGTTTCCTGATTCCTATTAGCCAGTGCCCTCCCAGGTCATGTGTGTTAACTGACTGTTGCCATGTAACAAATCATGCCAAAATTCTGTGTCTTAAGCAATAGTCATTTATTATTTTGGATGAGTCTGTGCTTCAGTGGAATGGGCCTGCTGATTGTGGCTAGACTCAGCTGATCTTGGCTGGGCTTGTTTATGCTCAGGTTGTTGACTGGTGGATGTTTGTGGGGGTGCCTGGTATAGTGCGGATCCCCTGTTAACCTCAGGAGGAAAGGCACCAGGCTCCAGAGCTGGAAGAAGAGACCCAGAACCAGCAACAAGATGAGACGTTTTTCTTTTTCTTTTTTTTTGGAGTCTTGCTCTGTCACCCAGGCTGGAGTGCAGTGGCACGATCTCAGCTCACTGCAACTTTTGCATCCTGGGTTCAATCAATTCTCCTGCCTCAGTCTCCCAAGTAGCTGGGATTACAGGCATGCACCACCATGCCAAGCCAATTTTTATATTTTTTGTAGAGATGAGGTTTCACCATGTTGGCCAGGCTGGTCTTGAGCTCCTGACCTCAAGGGATCTCCCTGGCTCAGCCTCCCAAACTGCTGGGATTACAGGTGTGAGGAGACTTGGGGTTTTATTAGGGGCTTACATACAGGGGAGAAAGCCCAGTGGCGGTGGGCTAGAAAAGGTAATTGCATGGCGTAGCAGTGGCAGATGGGGCAGGAAAAACATATGGCTCCCTGGTGGGTGGGCTGTGTAGGAAAACGACAAGCTCTTGCAAACGGCATGTGGTTTATGTAGCATTTTCACTTAATACCCTCCCCCTAATGACCTCTACCTGGCACCCTTCATTTAACCCAAAATTCAGGGCCTCAATCCCCTGTCTGGCCCATGTTCCACAGGAAGGGCCAGGAGCTTAGTAAATATTCCTCATAGACAAGGAATGCATCTCCAGGTTGGCTGGGTCTGGATTCCCTAGCTCGAAACACGTATTCAGGTGCGTCTGCCATACAGGGTCATTCCAAGGGTATGCTGAAGTTATTGGTGTCAGGTGTGTTTACCCTACAGCTGGTCTGGGATGGCCTTGAGCGGTAGGACCCACCTCCTGCCATGGGTCTTCCATATCTCTCCAGAAGGGTACTAGCCTCTGCCGGGGTCTCCTGTACCTCTCCAGTTATGTTCTGGGTGGGGCAGGATTGAAGAGAGCGGAAACATGCAAGCGTCTTTTTCAGACCTCTGTTTGCATCAACTTTGCTGTCATCCCCTTCACATGGGCAGGTTGTGTGGCTCAGCCCAGAGTCAGTGTGGGAGGCACTACCCAAGGGCATGGAGGCAACCGCCGTGAAACGCCGAGGGTGCTACTACAATCCATCTATCACACCGTGTCTTTCAAGAAGTATTTTTCTAAGCAAAGACTGTTCCTTCTCTAAGAGGCATCCTGGTTCCAGCTGTTAAGACAATAATTTGTTTCACTCTGCTACATCTGGCCCCTGCCTTGCATCTTATTGAGCAATAACATCACCCAGGGTGTGACATTTTATAAGGGCTTTAGCATTTCCACATGAAAAGGACATTTTCGTAGATCATTTATTTACTTTCCCAAATTTTATGGGCAGGTCTAACCTTTCTTTATTTTCAAAGGGTTCTGCTTAATTTCCAAGAGACCCTTGAATGGAGGAAAGTAGTGAACCTGAGTTACTGTGTCATTGCTTAAGATCTGATGGCCAAAAAGAGAAACTGAGGCAAGGAGAAAAATCCTGGTGATTCTGAATTCAAACATGATTAAGCCACACATGTTCCCTGAATTGGCACGAGGACACACTGGTCATCCATTTTCAGCGCAGGGTCTCAGAGTAGCTGCCTGTTTGGGGAGCTGGGGGGGTTGACAGTCAAGGCACCTTCCTCACTACTCGCATTCTAGAGGGAAGATTAGAGATGGGATGGGGTGGTTGTGTTCTGTGTCCCTCCCTTTGCCACATCCCCTCTTAACCTGTGTGAGTGTGTGTATGTGTGGGGGTGGTGTGTGTGAATTCACATGTCTGCACACACACATATCAACATACCTCAGGGTTCTCTGCTGAGAGAGATGCAGCTTTGACAGTGCTTTGCACTGCTTTGTATTAAACCAGATAATAGGGGAAATGATTAGGGCCTTTCAGAGCAACCACCTGACAATAGTGCGAGGTGAATGTGGGCTGATTGGAGCTCCGTTTACCACTTCCTGATAGCAGAGAAGGGCAGGCCAGGGGTGGCCCAGCACCTGCGTTTTGCAGAACTGGTTCCCAGGATGAACTCTTCCTTCTCCTTCCTCCTCCCCGACTCCCCCAGGGACCTCTGGGTTGGTTAAATTTAGTGTTCTGGTGTATCCAAATCCATGTGATTTCTTCCAGGACCGTGCATTTAAATGTCACCCAGACTGCAAAATTACCAACACATCAGGCTGACAGGGGTTGTTTAAAAGCCGTGTGGCTGTGAAGGAAGCAAAGAGGCGGGGTCTCCAGAAGATGAGAGAAGAAAGAAAGGAAAGGGAAGCCTGGGGAGAGGATGGTTGGGCTTCTTTCTTCCAAAGTCCCCCCAAAACCAGCCCCAGTGAAGTCAACCAGGAAATGTCCTCTTCAAACAAACGCTGAGAAAATAAAAATGAAATCGGAGGTGGGAGTGGCTGCTTGTCATAACCCCCTTCCCCGTCTTCCATCACCTTTCCACTCGGCATCTCCGTAGGGTTGCTGATAGACTCGGAGTGTTCTCCTGGGCACAGGGGGGTCTGGGGTCATGGTGGCATGGTATAAACAGCCATGAAGTTAAGCCACTGGGGCACACACCTGTGCTTGGCCACTTACCAGCTGTGAGATCTGGGACTCTCCATTTCACTTTTCTGAACTTTGGTTCTTCACTTTGTTAAATGGGGATCATTGTCTTTGCTCTGCCCACTTTGCAGGGGTGTGGTGAGGATCACATGACATGAGGTATTAAAAAAAACCCTTCAAAATAACTCATATGGGTTCTGGCACTGAAAGGGGTCTGTGCCACTGCCCAGATGGAGGTGAATGGACATTTCTAGAGAGAGAGAGGCACACAGCACCTCAGCCCTGGAGCAAGGCTTATGGAATGAAGCCCAACCAGGGGCTTCATGGAAACCATAAAGGGACATTTAAGATGCCATTTGGAGGCAGCACCGAGGCCTGAATGACTTCAGGTTGAGGGTCCTTGCTTTAGTATCAAGGTGGTTTGAAACCCTAAGAAAGGTCCTATGTCCAGCTGCCTCAGCTTTCTCATCTGTCAAGTGGGAGAATGACCATATACCAGCCTCATGGGGTCCGTGTGAGATTTAAATGAACAAATAAGTGCCTAACTGGTGCCTAGAAATAATAAGCCCTCAGTCAATATTGTCTACTATGATATCTCTTTCCTAGGGTCTCCTGCTTTGCGAGTCTGGAGTTCTTTCTAGAAAGATTTTTATATGATGATTGCAGGAACTTGAATTAACACATGTAATGTTTCTAGCCCGTGGCTGGGCATGAAGCTCAAGATATGCTGATTCCTGTCCCTTTTTCTTCACATTCTACCTCTCATCTTACTGGTCCATGAGATTTTACTCTGTGGGTAAAAGCCAGAAGAGAGGATGCAAAAAGATCCCAATGAAAAAAATAGATCAGTGAGCTATTGTTACCACTCCATGACACTTTGTTCAGAACTCTTCTTCATGCATTTTTGGGCCTGATGAGAAAGAAATCCCATCAGGAACATCCACCAGTCATCATCCTCCACATACAAACCTTGGGGGGAATTCACCTCTCTGGGCCCCAGTTTCCCTATTTATAAAATGAGGTCATCACCAAGGGACCTTCTAGCAAGTCATGATACCTTTGACTTCAGTGCTCCCAGCCAACGCCAGGCCCCAGCCCCTTTCCATGATAGTATCACTGCTATTTTATTTCTTTTTCTCTTTGTTTCTTCACCTTGGACATGCCAAGTGTTTATGGCATTTCTGAGAATCCAATAAACTGCATTATTGGGAGGAGATGGGGAGTAACAAACATAGGCAAAAATCTGCTATTTTCACATGAATGCTTTAGGCAATCAGCCATGATGGGAAATGAAATGTGTGGAAAAATACAGGGTGAATAAAGAGGGCTTTAGTGAGATGATGAGGCGTTTATGTTCGTGCCTGCACATGACTGCTGTCGATCCGTCAGCCCAGCGGCTGCAGCGCAGCCTGCGACGGCTTCTGCCGTGGAGGTCTGGCTCCCAATCCTCCTCTGCAGGTTGGGTTTCGATGTGGAACAACCCATAGTTATTTATCAAAGTTCCAGTAAGGATCAAGTGAGGAGAGCAAGGGCGAGAATCCCTGCAGGAAGGGACCCAGATCAGGCATCAGGAGTTGCTTCTGTCAATTACAAGCTCTTGAGAGACCTTCCTTGGGGAAACGAGGGAGTCTGTCCTGCTGACTAATGTGGTGGAAGGGACTAATGTGGTGGAAGGGACATTCAAGGTGCCCTTTGGAGGCAGCACCCAGGCCTGAATGACCTCAGGTTGAGGGTTCTTGATTCTGTATCAAGGTGGCTTAGCGTAAGTTCTGCAAATGTGAGAATTAAGAGGCGTGTTCAAGTTATAGCTGGAATCCTGACCTGTTGTGTGATGTTAGACAGCACGACCAATCTCCCTGCTCCTCCGTTGGGTGTCACCGATTCAGACACTAACGCTCATGCATTTTACAAATAGAACAGTGCCTGTGTATTTTCACTGTAGGCATAGATTGTTTTTTTTTTTTAATTAGGAGTCTTAATTTTTTAGAGCAGTTGTAGGTTTAAAGACAAATTGATCAGAAAGTACAATGAGTTCCCATATATTTCCTCTCCCCTTCACTCAGTTTCCCCTATTCACATCCTGCATGGGTGTGGCACATTTGTTACAGTCGATGAGGCAATATCGATACATTGTTATGAACTGAAATCCATGGTTTATATTATAGTATGGGAACAGTCTTTGTGTTGTATAATTACACAGTGTAATTATCCTGTATCCACCATTCCAGTGTTACATAGAATATATATATCCTGTATCCACCATTCCAGTGTTATATAGGATATATATATCCTGTATCCACCATTCCAGTGTTATATAGAATAATTTCATTGTCTTAAAAATCCTCTGTGCTCCACCAATTCATCCCTTTCTCCCCTCCCCACAAACTCTCAGCAACCACTAATCTTTTTACTGTCTCTATAATTTGTCTTTTTTTTCCAGGAAGTCATATAGTCTGATTCATACAGTATGTAGCCTTTTCAAACTGACTTTTTGCACATAGTAATACATATTTAAGGTTTCTCCATGTCTTTTCCTGGCTTGACAGTTCATTTCTTTATATTGCTAAATAGTATGGCATTGTATGCATATACCGCAGTCTGTTTATCCATTCACCTACTGAAGGACATCTTAGTTGCTTCCAAGTTTTGGCAATTATGAATAAAGCTGTCATAAACATTCCCGTCCAGGTTTTTGCGTAGACCTAAGTTTTCAACTCAATTGAGTAAATACCAGGGAGCGTGATTGCTGGATCATATGGTAAGAGTATATTTAGTTTTGTAGGAAACTGCCAAACTGTCTTCTAAAGTGGCTTTGCCATTTTGCGTCCCCACCAGCAATGAGTGAGAGTTCCTGTTGCTCTATATCCTCCCCAGCATTTGGTGTTGTCAGTGTTTTGGATTTTAGCCATTCTAATAGATGTGCAGTGGTATCTTGTTTTAATTTGCCGTTCCCTAAGGACATATGATGTTGAGCAAATAGGAAGAGTGCCTATGTATTTTCACTCTAGAAATAGTTTTAACAAGCTCATTTATCTGTTTATATTTTTTCTTCCAGCTAGTAGGAAATCAGAAGTGTGTGTGTGGTAGAACATGAGAAGGAGGCCCACAGCTGATAGGAGCAGAGAGCCCCATGCTGAGCATAAGAAGACCTGGTCTTCTTGGTTACCCTAACTGCTTGACCTTAGGAAATCAGCTCATCTCTGGAGCTCAGTTTCCTCGCTCTGGAAATGTGTGGCTTGTACTATATCAAGGTTATGAAATGCTTCTTAGGCCAATGCCCTCCAATTGGAGTGACAGCCTGAGATGGGAAGAGGCTACTGGGGGAGTAGCTTGTCCTGGCTGAGAGGTGCTGACTTCCATGGCAAAGACTGCAGGCGGGGGCACCTGTGACACAAGCACATTCTCTTCTTGAGAATGAGTTCTAACTTTCCCTCCTGTTTATAATTCCATGCAAGTTTAAGAGACCACTGAGAGCCTAACAGAAAGAAAGGAAAGGTAGCTTTTTTTTAAGACGGAGCCTCGCTCTGTCACTCAGGCTGGAGTGCAGTGGCGCAATCTCGGCTCACTGCAAGCTCCGCCTCCCAGGTTCACACCATTCTCCTGCCTCAGCCTCCCAAGCAGCTGGGACTACAGGCGACCACCACCATGCCCGGCTAATTTTGTTTTGTATTTTTAGTAGAGATGGGGTTTCACTGTGTCAGCCAAGATGGTGTCAATCTCATGACCTCGTGATCTGCCCGCCTCAGCCTCCCAAAGTGCTGGGATTACAGGTGTGAGCCACTGCACCTGGCCAAGGAAAGCTAGTTTTAAAAACACTGACACCATGGCTTAAAAACCTCCAGGCTGGGTGCAGTGGCTCATGCCTGTAATTCCAGCAATTTGGGAGGCAGAGGCAGGAGTATTATTTGAGGCCAGGAGTTCAAGACCAGGCTGGGCAACACAGTGAGACCCCATCTCTACAAAAAATGAATAAAATTAGCCAGGCATGGTTGCATGCGACCATAGTCCCAGCTACTCAGGAGGCTGAGGAAGGAGGGTGGCTTTGGCCGAGGAGGTAGAAGCTGCAGTGAGCTACGTTCACACCACTAAACTCTAGCCTGGGTGACAGAGCAAGAGCCTATCTCTAAAAAATAAAAACAAAAACAGCCTCCCTAGAGTAGGTGCAGCCTGGGTTGCAAAGTCAGCAGGACTCACAATTATCAGTGGCTGGAACCTGACATTCCAACATTCCCTGTCTGGCCCTTGAGCTCTGCCTGGGAGGAGAGAAATTTCATCTACTCCTCCCCCTATCTCCAGAGCTGGACGTGCCTGGCATAGCAAAATGTTTCCCTTAGGTTGAGTGAGCATCTTGCAGGCCCTTTGTTCTAGGCACTGGGGACACAGCAGGGAGCAGAGACAAAATTTCCTGTCCTCACGGGGCTTCCATCATGGTGATGTGCATGAACAACTCCCTCAAAATTAATTTGCACTCTATATTCAGCTTCAGAAAATGGTGTCATCCTATTTAGGAAAAGGTCTACTCAGTGAAAATGAAATGAATTTGGGATCTACAAAGGTGAACTTCAGTTATCTGGGAACATCTCATAACATGAAGGTGCTAACCCAGCGGTGATGAAGGCTTTATTATGATTTTCTCCCTGGGGGCTTTCAAAAAGGCAGCCGGTGAGGAGTTTGGCTGCTGAGTTTCTCCTCTCATTAACGCCTCAGCCCTGCTCCTCTCATTAACACATGAGGCCCTGCTCCAACTCCAGCCTGGTACCCAACAGGGCTCGAGAAACCTTTGAGGTCCCAGTGGCTCTGAACTCTGAATCCTTCGAAGGCGTCCCACCCATGCACTCCCTAGCAAGGTCCCAGGGAGATGATTAAACACACTTGAAAGCCGAGTCATTTTCCTAGATTAAGAGTTGTGTGTAAGGAGTGGAAAAAGTCTGAGAAGCGAGGAGATGCTTATCAGGTTTGTGCACTGGTCAACTCCTCTTCCTTCTTAGCTGAATGCTTTGGTAATGGCTTTCTTCATGGTAGAGGGAAATAATTTCTCTTTTCTCATCCTGAAAACTTCCTGTGAGTAGCGACCTCACCCCCATCAGGAGAGGCAAGAGAAAGGCTTCAGATAACGGATCTACTGCCCTGAAAGGTCTGGGAAGTCCAGGCAGCTCATGAGTCCCTGCAGGGTCTCTGGGGGCTCTTGTGCCTGTCCTTGAGGATGGGACAAGAAGAGGCTGGAAAATGGTGCATGCAGAGCCATCAGAGAACTCAGTGCTCCTCAAGCTACGAGGAACCTATGAGCCACTTGGGGGCCATGTGCAGCTCCTGATTGGCAGGTGTGGGGTGGAGCTTATGGTTGTCATTTCTAAAGTGCACCCAGCTGGATGATGCTGCCGGTCCACAGACCACACATGGAGAAGTGAGGATCGAGTCACCTCTGATATTTTACAGGGGAGAGAATTGAGGTCTCAGGGAAGGGGAGGACATGGCCTGACCAAAGTCACCGAGCTGGGGAAGTGGAGGAGCTTGGCTAGATCCCAAGTTTCCAGAACCCCAGACCTGGTACATCTCATCTCCTCTTTGTGAAGCCAGGTAGGCAACACCCAATTGCAGGCATGCTTCAGAGGGAATTAAAGATCACTTGTATTTCTTTCCTGTACAAAGCCCACTTATTTTTTCCCCATTTACTCATTCAGACAACTAGAAATATTTATAAGACCCTCTAAATACCCTCCCTGAGCAAGGCACTACAGGAATGATAGGAATAGCAAGTTATGTATGAACTAGAAGGGGAGAAGTGACATTTATATGTAAAATACCTACAGTAAAAGAAAAGTAGTTGACTCAGAGCTGATGGCATGTCATAGACCCTACATTATCCAGGAGTCCAAAGGAGAGAAAGAGACCTTTGTGGCACGGTGGTCAGGGAGGGCTTCTTGGAGGAGGAGGCTAGCTCAGACTGGGCCTTTGAAGGCTGCATAGGTTTTGAAGAGATGGAGGGGAGAGAGGGGTGGGCTCTAAAGGTGCTCTGTCTGTCACTTAGGCCTCCCTTTTCACTGCATTGGGCTGTTCCCTTCCAACATTTTCTCTTTCTTCTCTGTCTATATCTTCTTCCTTCTATTCCCTGTTCTTCTTCCCCTTCCCTCCTTCCCTCCCTTCCTTTCCTTTCTTTTCCTTCCTTCCTTCCTTCCTCCCTCCCTTCCTTCCTCCCTCCCTCCCTCTGTCCTTCCCTCCCTTCCTTCCTCTGCTTGTGGTCTCATTTCCACTTCACAGTAGAATATAAGTAGAAAATAAAGGGCTTATAATCAAATATCTTACCTTACCTGTTTATCTCAGCAATCCAGTGAGAAAGTCAGCTCTGTGGGTTATGCCCATTTAACAGGTAAGAAGAGAGAAGTTCAGATTAGGAACTGAGGGCTTTCTTAGGATGCCTGATTTTCACTGTTAAAACCAGGACAATCTTGATCATCCTAATCATGTGCTCACTTACCAGTACTTTGGGATCATGTCTCTGGCCTGTTGGGCAGGGTCAGTGAGGTCATGGGGTTACTGTTAGGGTAGGTTAGTCAAGTTCTCTGCCTTTCCCTCTAGGAAGGGGAGCTGGCCACATATCCCTGGAGGATGGGTGCAGAAGAATGTGACTCAGAGCCTGTCTGCAAGCACAAGCGGGAGCAGTGTTGCCATTGCGCCTGTTCCCTGACTCAGCCCTGGTGTATCCTCTGCTTTGAACTTGAGCAATCCAGCTTTCTGTCTTCTCCTTTTCAATCCTGCAAGGACGCTTGGCCTTCTGAGGCATTGAGGTTTCCCCTCTTTGCTGACACTACTCAAGAACTTTTGCCTCCTAACATGAACAGGACAACTATTAGTACGAAGTCCTGTTCTCTTAAAAGGACTTAAACTTGGGTATACACACACGCACACACACACAAACACACACACACACACATATATATATATAGTCTAGGCAGGGACTTTTGCATGTAACCATTATGCATGGGATGGATACAGAACTCAGATTTGAATAGTTCAGAATCTATTTTTGGTCAGGACTCCCTAAGCTAGATGAATTCATCCTCAGAGTTTAGCTCAGCCTTCTTTTGGCTGCTTGAGAAGTTTCTGGCCTCACTATTCCTGGTGTTGCATAGTCATAGCCATGTGAATCTTGATTGCAAACCTGGATGTAAATATGAAAGCAACAGAAAGAACAAGGTCCTTGGCCTTTACCACACAGCCTCTCTCAGACCAGAGGAGAAGGACTGCTTGGGTTGAAAATCAAGAGATTAAAATTCTAGTTCTAGCTCTGCTGCCTGTTTAATCTTAGATAAGTCATTTCTTCTTCCAACTCCTCATCTTAAAGAATTGAACTAGATTGCCAGGCGCAGTGGCTCATGCCCGCCATCCCAGCACTTTGGGAGGCTGAGGCGGGCAGATCACGAGGTCAGGAGTTCAAGACCATCCTGACCAACACAGTGAAACCCCATTTCTACTAAAAGTACAAAATTTAGCTGGGCATGGCGGCAGGTGCCTGTAATCCCAGCTACTCAGGAGGCTGAGGCAGGACAATAGCTTGAACCTGGGAGGCAGAGGTTGCAGTGAGCCAAGATTGTGCCACTGCACTCCAGCCTGGGTGACAGAGTGATCCAGACTCTGTCTCAAAAAAAAAAAAAAAAAGGAACTTAACTAGATGTTTTCCAGGACCCAGCTTAGCTCTAGGAGTGCCCGATTTCTCTGACTTTGCAGGGAAAGCATCATGGTTACTGTTTAATGAGTTAGGCACTCATTTCCTTAGTTGTGTAGGTGAACAGGGTGTGACAGACTAGAAGCAGTGGTGCTAGATGCCAAGAGCCGACTGTCAGGGCAACAGGGTTAGGAGTGGAAGACACACTACTAGAAAAGCTAACAGCAATGGAAAAGTTGGGAGAAGCTACTTCTTAGCACAGCAGGGCGGGGTTTATTTTGTATCAGGGCAAATGGCTCTTCTAGGCTCAACAATCCCTGAGGACATCTCTAAGTTGACATTCAACATGTACTAAGCACTTCAGAGTTTCTGAAGCCCGTTCGCAGGCGTTACACCCTTGAATTCATCAACAAGTGTGAGATTGATGGGCACGCCATAGTTTTATAAATGAAAGTGAGGTCTAGAGAGATTTAAGGATGTGCCAATGCTAAGATGCAGAGGGACTCACCACAAGTCTTTTGGCTTTGGGCCCAGTGCCATTTCCACTACACCATAGCTGCCACCAACAGGATGGTCACAGTTATGATGGAGTTACCAACAATGGTCAGAGCAATAGGAGACTGTGCTTAGAATTATAAGCTTCAGTGATCTGGAAACTTTGCTCAGCCAGAATCCTTCTTTGATTTCAAACAAAGAGGTATAAATCAGGCATTCTTGTGGTTCTGTGTTTGCAATCAGTTACTGGTGAAGTCATTAAGACAGGAGTCACAAAGCACATACACAGCTGTGCCCAATACATCGTGCAGCCAAGTACACACAATAGGAGGCAGTTTAACAAGTAGGGAAGACATATACCTGCTCCTTCCGAGTTTCACCTGGAGGAAGAGTCTACAAAGAAAGGGAAGAAGGTTGCATCTGGTAACAGGTGGGGGCCTGTGCGGCTTGATAGCTTAACATGTATCAGGCGATACTCAAAGAGCTTTACAGGCATTCATTTATTTATGCTTTACAACCACTCCTTGAGGTAGGTACTACTCGTATCCCTGTTTTTGAAGAAGAGGAAACTGGGAAACAGAGAGGCAAGCTGAAAGAGACTGATCCTGTTTGATATGGTTTGGCTCTGTGTCCCCACTCGAATCTCATTTTCGATTGTAATCTCCAGCTTGTCAGGGGAGAGGCCTAGTGGGAGGTGATTGAATCATGGGGGCAGACTTACCTCTTGCTGTTCTCGTGACAGTGAGTTCTCACGAGATCTGGCTGTTTGAAAGTGTGTGGCACTTCTCCTTCATGCTCTCCCTGTCTCCTGCTCCACCGTGGTAAAGACGTGCTTGTTTCCTTTTCGCCTCTGCCATGATTCTGAGTTTCTTTAGGCCTTCCAACCATGCTTCCTGTAATGCCTGCAGAACTGTGAGTTATTTAAATCTCTTTTTTTCATAAATTACCCAGTCACAGGTAGTTCTTTATAGCACTGTGAAAATGGACTATAATACACTTGTTCAGGTGGGCAACTTCTGCCCTGGGTCATGTAGAGAGATGGACTTCTGCTTGGAGCTTGTCCAACATTTGAGTCCTGGGGCCACTTCTCTCTCCACCCTCCTCTTTCCTCCCCACTTCTCCCTCTCTTCCTTTCTTCCTTCCTTGCTTCTTTCTTCATTTCTTCCTCATTCCTTTATTTTTCTTCCTTCCTCATTTCCTGGGTGTCTAATAACGCCAATAACGATGCATAGTTCTAGGGTTGTATAAATGAGAAAAGCACTGCCTCTATTTTTAAGGGATTAAAAGCCTGCACAGGGCTTGGGAGTAGGGTAGAAGGTGCAGACGTGAACATCAGCAGAAATAAGTTCATTAGCTAATTTCCCTGTAAGAGAGAATGAAGATTATAGGAGAACAGGAGTGTGGGCCACCTGTAGCAGGTAGGTCAAGACAGAATGGATGTGAGAGGTGGTGGTGGGAAAACATCAAAGGGTACCAACAAGTTTGCAACTAAGCTCACGCTGGGCCTGCTGCAGCCTCTGTCAGCAACCCTCTTACAGGGTCTTCTTCCAAAGACACCAGGGGCCTGACACCTGGAAGGAGTTTGGAGCATGGACATCCATTGGTAGAGAAGGTGCTCATCGGCATGAGGCAGGCAGTATGCGGAAGAACTGTGCTTAGAAAGGAACTGGATTGAATGGTAAACTTTTCATGAGAGATAAGTTATGAAGGAAGTGGAATTCCCTCATGAGTCCCAAGGGCCATGGATAAAAGGCAGCCTTCCTGGCAATCTTTAGCACCTTTCATCAGTCAATTAATTCACAGACGTTTCTTAAACTCAGAGCAGAAGCAAACCAGTGTGCTAAGTACTGGGGAGAGGGCACAGGGAGGTAGAATACAAGCCCCTACCCACAGATAGGGGCAGTCTGACTGGGGAGATGAAGCAGCTTTGTTACTAGGTAATAGCTTTACAATGCACTGATCACCAGACATGCAGTGCAAATCATACATTTAGATTGTGCTCAGGATGGGAGGGATGAGAGTGCGCTGGGGTGGGCTGGGCTGGCAGGTGAGCAGGGAAGACTTCTTGAAGGAGATGGACCTTAAAGAAAGAGAAAGATTTGGCTGGTGGTAGAGGGGAGATTTGAGGCTGAGTAGCTGAGAAAGCAGTTCCTGCACCATTCCACAGGCTGAAGGATGCAGTGGAACCAGGGGAACAGCTATGTGCAGAGAGGTGTGGAGGAGGGATGCTTTAGAGATTCTCTCTCCCTCCTGGGCTAGTTAGGAAGGTCTGGGCTACCTTGCCTCCAGGGCCCATTGAATAGGACCTGATGTTCGGAATGCGGGATTGGAAAATATTCTTGGAAAAGAAGCCTAATCTGGTGGGAAAAATATTTGCTATTTTGCAAAGACTCAGAGGAGGCATTTCTTTCCCTTTTGCCATTCTCAGAGCAGAACCCTTCATGCCAATGCAGTGGCAGGACCACAAGTCTGAACGAGGGTCCGTGGATGCTTAATGGCCTTGGTGTTGAGACAGGCATTGACTTCTTTATTGTTGTCTCTGTCCTTCTGTTTCTCTGTGCTCCCCCCACCTCCAGCCCCCGCCACATGCCTTTGCTCAGGCTGTGCCTATGGTGCCTCCTACACCCCATTCCCTGACTTCCATGCTTCCAAACACCCTCCTTCCCAGCTTGCGGCCATCCGTCTCTCCTTGTGAGAGCCCCTGGCCCGGCATCTCTTGTAAGCATAGATCATTCTCAATCAGTCATTAGTCACCTGAAGAAAGCCTCATACACCCTATCAGACCGAGGGCCGGGAAAGCCCTTGGCACAGGCACCTCTACTTCTCTTACAGTGTCTAGCACAGACTTCTCACCCAGGGGGGACTCAATAGACCATTTGTCGAATGAGTCAGGAGGTTCAAAGAAAAATCAAGGGATTCAGAGTGAGCATGGTGCGTCTGGGAGAGTGAGATCTCTCTCTAGCCTTTTCCAGATGAAGATGACATTGCCACTGATTTTTGCACGTGGTCCCCCTATGATTTTCTCTCTGGGAAAATTTCGGCCCCTCTTTTTACTCCTGGGACCTCCAACTCCACAGTTCATTCTCTGTCCCTCTTACGATGATGATTTGGTGGGATTCTGATTCCAGGGCTCTAAGCTGTGTGCTTTCCTCCTGGCTCTCACACTTGTCTGCCACGATGAGGGGGACTGGTGGAGCTGAGAAATCCCCCAGGACTTGCACCACTCCCGGGCCAGCTGAGGAGTGTCGTTTTTCCATTTGTTCAGAGCACGGAGTGGGGGTGTGTGACTTGTCGGGGATCCAGACTTGCAGGGGAGTTCAGCTGTGGCCCTGCCCACCTGCCCTGTGACCTCGGGGCCTGTCACTGGACCTTTCTGGTGTTCCGTTCTGCTGATTTTCATAATGACGTTCGGTGTGAACTGAATATGCTACTAATGTTACCTCTTCTGGCCTGGAAGGAAAGACAGGAATCTGCTGGGCCTGCCTCGAGCTGGGGAAGGATCCTGGATGGGGATGGAACAGCTGAGAGATTTATACCAGCAGGTGGTTGCTGCGCCTGTGGAGATGTCAGCCAGATGCTGGTTCCTCTGCAGGGGGCGTACAGACTGGGGAGGGTGCAGAGATGGGCTGGAAGGGAGGAAAGGAATGGGGGGGTTCTCTCTCCTCTGTATAATAATCTGCTTCTGACGAGAAGCTTCTGTTCTTTTCCACTGGAAAGCTTTTAAGAACACTGAAAAGGACAGGCAATTATAGGAAGGTTAGGTGCGCTTGATTGGATGTTGTTACAAATCACTCATTGTCATACAAGGCATTTGGAAAGGAGGCCATCAGGACTGATTGCCGTTTAGGGTAAGTGATTTCTGTTTAGAGTGAGCGAGCAGATGAAGGCTTGGCTGGTGCTGGTTGTCCTCTCTCCCTGTTTGCTGTTGTGTTGATGGTTTTTCTTGGCAAGAAGGGTCCTTGCAGATGCTCACAGGATGTGTGGATGGGAAGAGGCTGGAGACCAGCCTTCTAATCCCATTCCCACCCCACCCTTCCCCCCATTACACTGATAGGGATACTGAGTGTAAGGAGAAGGGGAAAAGAGACTGGTCTAGCCACACACAGCAGGTCAGTGGAGACGCTAGACCAGAGTCCAGGTCCAGACCCCAGGCCAGTGTTCTTGCCTGTGGCCAGGCTCTGAGCTGACACTCCAAGGGGACTGGGTGTTTCTGTTAACACACCCCATGGACAGTTATGCAGGCTGAGCATACCTCACGTGGCAGCCCTTGAGGTTCCAGGTGCCACTTCATGGTTAGTTCCTCTGGATCCTCTCATACCCTGTCCCCACACACCCTCTTTACTTCTGTGTCTGAAACACCACCATAATGGAGAAACTTCCTTGGATCTTGGAGTCTATTCTATCTTTATGACTCTGAATTAACCTGCAAGTGTTCTGGGAAGGATTGCACTGTAAGTAACCAGGGAACAGTGAACTAGTAGCAGAGGAATCCACAGATGGGGAAAGATGGTCGAAGAAAGAACATCAGAAATAAACTTCAGCAAATCCTCCATTTGGTCCAGCAAAAATTCTCCCACGATTTTACCAATGAGGAAGATGAGGTAGAGGATGGCCAATGAACATACTTTTTTTTTTCTTTTTTTTTTTTTGAGACAGAGTCTTGCTCTGCCACCCAGGCTGGAGTGCAGTGGTGTAATCTCGGCTCACTACAACCTCCACCTTCCAGGTTCAAGTGATTCTCTTGTCTCAGCCTCCTGAGTAGTTGGGACTACAGTCATGCACCACCATGCTTGGCTAATTTTTGTATTTTTAATAGAGACAGGGTTTCGCCATGTTGGCCAGGCTGGTATTGAACTCCTGATCTCAAGTGATCCGCCCGCCTCAGCCTCCCAAAGTGCTGGGATTACAGGCATGAGCCACTGTCCCTGGCCTTTTTATTTTATTTTTAACTTTTTAAATTTAATTTTTAAAATTTAATCTATTTATTTATTTTGAGACCAGGTTATGAGACTGGCTAATTTTTGTATTTTTGGTAGAGACGAGGTTTTACCATGCTGCCAAGGCTGGTCTCAAACTCCTGGGCTCAAGTGATCCACCTGCCTTGGCCTCTGAAAGTGCTGGGATTACAGGCGTGAGCCACTGTACCTGGTTCGAATGAACATATTTATGTTTGGAGTCATCCCTGTGTTTGTTATGCCAGTTTTGAGTATAAACTGTCGGGGTTTGAATTGTGTCCCCCTGCAAAATATGTTGAAATTCTAGCTGTCACGACCTCAGAATGCAACCTTATTTAGAAATGGGGTCTTTATAGAGGTCATGAAGTTAAAATGAACTCATTAGGGTAGATCCTAAACCAATATGACTGGCGTCCTTGTAAAGAGGGGAAATTGGGACAGAGAGACAGACATGCACAGGGGGAAGACTATGTGAAAAGACTCAAGACTCAGAATGTCATGTGAGGGCAGAGATCGGGACGATGAATCCATAAGCCACGGAACCCCAAATACTGCCAGCAACCATCAGAACCCAGGACAAGAGCGTGGAACCGGTCCTTTCCCACATCCCTCAGAAGGAACCAGCTCTGCTAACACCTTGATTTCAGCCTCCAGGACTGTGAGAAAATTCATTTCTGTTTAAGTTACCTTGTTTGTGGTACTTTGTTACGGCCTTCCTAGGAAATGAACACAGTAAGAATGTCCTTATCCCCCATCTGTTTTTCTTCTTATTACATAACTGGACTGTACAGCTTTATTTTATTGGGATGAAACCCCTCTGGTGGTGTGCTGGTTGTGTTAATGTTTTCTGGATTTAGGATAAAGCAGGGCCTGGTTGTGTGATTGAGACTGTGGGACAATCTTAGCATCTCTACCTTGTACCAGCAGGGAAATTCCTTCATTTAACCATTTAACAACTGTTTGCTGAGTGCCTACTAAGCACCTGGCACCGTGCTGTGTGCTGGAGACACAAAGACACACAAAACACTTTCCTCCCTTGTGAGGAGCTCATAGTCATGCAGACAAATAATTGTCGTGTGATGCTGTGCAACACAGCGATGGTGGTGGTACAGAGTATTACAGGATCACAGAGCAGAGGAGGGGACCTGGGAAAAGGTGGAAGAAGCAGGGAAGACACCAGAGAAGAGGTCACAGGAGCTGAACCTCTAAGAGGTCCTCTAGGGCACTAAGTAGAAAGGCTGCTCCATGTGAGGTGACACCATGAATAAGGGAACAGGGACACAGAACAGGGTGTGTGTGTGTGTGTGCACATGTGTGCATGTGTGAGTGCCTGTGATATTCTTAGAAGCAATGGATTCACTCATGCACAGCACAGTAGCTCAGGCAGATCCCTCATAAGCTGAGTAATGCCTGTTCTTGGAATGGATCTCAAATCCAGCTGACAAGGTTTGGCTGTGTCCCGACCAAAATCTCATCTTGAATTCCCATGTGTTGTGGGAGGGACCTGGTGGGAGGTAATTGAATCATAGAGGCAGGTCTTTTCTGTGCTGTCCTTGTGATAGTGAGTAAGTCTCACGAGGTCTGATGGTTTTATAAGGTGGAGTTTCCCTGTACAAGCTCTCTCTTGGCCTGCTGCCATCCATGTAAGATGTGACTTGCTCCTCCTTTCCTTCCACCATGATTGTGAGGCCTCCCCAGCCACATAGAACTGTAAGTTCATTAAAACCTTTTTTTTTTTTTTTTTTTTTTTTTTTTTTTTTTGGTAAATTGCCCAGTCTTAGGTATGTTTTTATTTTTATTTTTTTGAGAAGGAGTTTCACTCTTGTTGCCCAGGCTGGAGTGCAATGGTGCGATCTCGGCTCATTGCAACCTCTGCCTCCTGGGTGCAAGCGATTATCCTGCCTCAGCCTCCAGTGTAGCTGGGATTACAGGCATGCACCACCACGCCCGGCTAATTCTGTATTTTTAGTAGAGACGGGGTTTCTCCATGTTGGTCAGGCTGGTCTCGAACTCCAAATCTCAGGTGATCCACCCACCTTGGCCTCCCAAAGTGCTGGGATTACAGGTGTGAGCCATCGCGCCCAGCTCAGGTGGGTGCAGTGTGAAAATGGACTAATACGCCAACCTAAAACAGGCCTCTCTACTGAGTGTGGGTAAGTGTGACTTTGGTCTTCAGCTACCTGAGCCAGTCCTTACCTTGGTAGTGTACTTTGCCTACACTTCTGAAGGAAATTATCTGAAGTTCTTTTTCTGATCATCTTCCTCTTTTATGGAATTCTCCTCTTAGCTTCCAATGCTTTGACACAGGACATTCAAGTTGATTCAGATTTCCTTTGCATCTTAGACCAGGGTCTTCCTAGAACCTGTATGTGTGAATGTGTGTGTGCCTGTGCCATTCTTTTAATATATTTTCTTAATTAAAAAGAACATTAATCAATTTAAAGGTTGGGTATGCTCGGAAACTGCCTTGCTCTGTTGCCTACTGGATGGATGTGAGGGTCTCAGTTGGGAGAATGGAGAAAAAGAACTGAGTTTGAAGCAATAGCTTTAGAGAGACATTTCATAATTTGCAAAAACACCTGAAGTCCAACTTCACATGTGAAATACCTTCATAAAATTGGAGTGGGCTTTCCCAGTACACACTGTTCTGGGACCAAGCTCTGAAAGGACAGATGAAGAAAGCCATCATTGTTGATTATTGGTCATTAGAGGATGCCCAAGACGTAATTTATTGCTGTGTTCCTGTGATTCATCTTAGGGAATGAGCATTGGACCAAGAATCAGACCTGGGTTCTAGTACTGGTTCTCCTACAAGTGACCTTGGGAAAATCATTCCCACTCAATGGGGCCTCAGTTTCCCTATCTATAAAATGTTTCTTCCAATTCTAACATTCTATCATATTTCCTTTATATATTCCCATCATCTTCAAGGCCCTGAAAATGGTACTTGTTTTTACATGGTCATTTGTAAGTCAGGCACATTTTTGAGTATAGCGTATATGAGAAAGTCAAATTCACTACCTGGTCCTTCCTAGCTAACAAACTTGGAGAGTGGGGCAAAGTGAAAGGCGTGTGTTTGTGTGTGCATGCATGCACGCACACACACGTGTGCATATATGTGTACATCAAATTTTCCTTCCTTTTCCTGAGACTTGGAGCTATTGTGGAGTTTAAAGGACAAATCATAGCTCAAAGATGGACTCATATAGCTTGATGTTGTGAAAATGGCATAAAATTAAATTAGAATCCTGGCTCTCCTACTTAGCATTTTTTGGGAATTTGCAGGTCACCTAACCTCCATGAACCTATTTCCTCATCTGTGAAAATGACTTTAACTGTAGGATTCTTGAGCAAATCAAGTTGGTTTATTCAACAAGGCTTTATGAAGTGCTGACTGTGTGCTGGACATTGTTTGGATACTGGGTAATCCAGAATGAATAAGACAGACTGCATTCCTATCTTTTAAGGAGGTTATAATTCAGTGGGAGAGATGGAAAATAAATAGGTAAATAAGCAAAAACACAAAAAATGTAATTAAATGCTATAAAAAGCAAATAAAGTGCTAAGATAAATAATTGTGGGGGGGGGCCTAATTTAGATAGGGTTATCAGAGAAGATTTGTCTAGGAAGGAGAAATTGGCCCAGCGGGGTGAGGGGTGGGCAGGTGTATAAAAGGATTGTCCAGGAAGCAAGAGTGTGCTCCCCTGAGCTGTGAATGGTCAAAAGATGTTGTGCATATGGAAATGTCTTATCAACCTTATGGCATTGTAGGAATGGCTGGGGGATTCATATTAAGTCTCCTTAGGCCTTGTCTGTGGTAGCTGTGAAGTCTTTTCTCAGTTTGGGCCCTGCAAAAAATGTTCCCCCTCCAGTTTGCGTCCATGATTGCACTGAGAGCATTTTCTATTAGGTGGGTAGGTGTGTGCGCACATGTGCATGGGAAATGTAGCATGTGTATGAGTGTCTACACTCTCCCCCGTGTGTATGGAAGAGCAGGAATGACTGCAGGCCTGTCACCAGCTCACACTGAGAACATCATCTGCATCACTTGTTCTAATGATGAAATTAAGCCTACTTCACAAATAAGATCAGTTTCTAACTCTGAGCCAGGGACCAACGGATCTGGCTCATTTTCCCTCCTCTGCTTTCCCCGAAGATAAAAAAGGTTTGCAAATTGTGACATCCACATCAAATGCTAATGGCACGGTGGGGACTCTCCAACAGAACTGATAAACTTCTCAGATTGAGGGCAGACTGTTAAGAGAGAACAGCTCCAGATGTAATATTTGGTGCTCACTTCCAAGAAACATTAACATTTTGGAATGTTCAGAAGTAAAACTCCAGGAAATAAAAGTCTGGGAGGAATTACATGGGTGGATCTGATCCAATAGAAGAAAGCAAAAGCTGGTCACCTTCAGCTTTCTCCAGGGACCTGAGTAGGCCAGGAGCTTCAATGTGTCGATTCTGGAAAATAACTCAATATCTGAAACACTGATCTAAGAAAAAACACAAAAACCCAACATTCCTGACCTATTAGGGCTTTAAGTTCAACGCTCCTCATGCTTAGATGAGGAAATTGAGTCCTAGAGGGGTGAGTTACTGTGAAGGGTCACATACCTGTTTGGTCACAGAAAGAACCAAGATAGCAGAACTCAGGTGTAGTGATTTGTCCTTCACTGTCCTACACTGAATTCCTAATGTCACATGTGGAGGAGTGGGCAGAAGCTTCTGTTTCTTTGTTTCATGGTGTTGCCAATAATATCCAGTGTTATAAAGCCTGAGAATCAAGATGTTAAACCTCAAATATGTGTCGTGCCTTGTTTTCTGCTGGGCTACAGATAAGCTTTTAAATAAGGGCAGGTGTTGGTGCTTTGCCATGGGAAAGGCCCTGGGCACTGGTGTGGTGGAGCAGAGAACTGCATCCCGAAGCCAAGAGGGCCTCTCCTTCTTTGCCTGACAGACACAAATAACTAAATTAAAGTAACCATCTTAATGGGGAATAAATTAGAGGGTTAGGTTAAATAAGCCCGTGGAAGCAATTTGCCACGTGTTCCTTCAAGGGAGATTTGGCAGAAGGGGCAGGGGCCTACATTTCCTATTAAGGCCATTGCTGGAGGAGATTGGGTGGCTCAGGGGTGGTGGATGCAGATTAGGAGGTGTCTCCTTGGAGGCCTTGCTTGGAGAGGTGGAGGCCGAATGCCTGTGCTCTGGGGGCACCTGCACCCCTTGCATCAGGGCCAGCACTGTCCAGGCAGGGGCTGCTTTGTCTCGCATGCTGTTGAATCACATTCTGTTGCAAGTTCACCTTGGTTATGCGCTGCCTGTAGCACATGTGAGAGGGCTGTCATAGGTAGGGGTCCCTGATAAGCAGACTCTGAGATGCAGATAGGTTATTAAAGAGGTCCCTGGGGTCCACACCAGGGGAAGGGCAAGGGAGGAAGTGGGGTTGGGCAGAGGGGAAAGGGCAGTGTGATGTGAGCTACTGATTGCCGCAACAGACCCCAGGGTCCATCCTGGAACTGAAATGACCTCCAGAGTTGTCCTGATTTGGGCTGAGATGGCCAGGCCTTTTTCTGTCACTGTGTTGAGGGCGCCCTGGGGAGGGGCATATTCATGGGTGATGCAGCTCTGCTGCTGGGCAGCCTCCACTGGAGCTGACAGCCGGGCCTCTGCCAGTGCCACTCACAGCAACCTGGGCACGGGAGAACACAACAGCAGCTACGACAGGTGTTCCAGAGAAAGGACTGCTTTTATTTTTCTAAACTTATCTTTAGGTCTACTGTGTGTGTGTGTGTGTGTGTGTGTGTGTGTGTGTGTGTGTGTTTGTGTGTGTGTCTGTTTGAGATGGAGTCTTGCTCTGTCACCCAGGCTGGGGTGCAATGGTGAGATCTCGGCTCACTGCAACCTCTGCCTCCCGGGTTCAAGTGATTCTTCTGCCTCAGCCTCCTGAGTAGCTGAGATTACAGGCACTTGCCACCATGCCCAGCTAATTTTTGTATTTTTAGTAGAGACAGGGTTTCACCAGGTTGGCCAGGCTGGTCTCAAACTCCTGACCTCAGGTGATCCACCCACCTCGGCCTCCCAAAGTGCTGGGATTACAGGCGTCAGCCACCGTGCCCGGCCTGTGTGGGGTTCTTTTCCCCCACACTGACTAATCTGACCAATTCTCTGACACCACCTGGGTGTCCTACAATTCAGTGCAACTCAATTGTGATGCTAAGTAGAGTTAGTGCAGACCCCACAGGTTAAGGGCTCAGTCCCATAAGAATGCCCCCTATTTCAGATGCCAATATAGGTTCCCTGATCACTCACACTTCTGTCTGACTCAGCTACAAATTGGAGGTCCCCATGACCTCCTTTTTGGGTTCAATAATTTGCTAGAGCAGCTCTGAGAAGCCCAGTAAACAGTTTACTTGCTATTGTTGGTCAATGGTGAGAAAGGGTATTTTAGAGGATACAAATGCACCACCAGTTGAAGGGATACATATGGTGAGGTTTAGAAGGGTCCTGAGCACAGGGCTTCTGTCCCCAGGGAGTTAGGGTGTACCACCCTTCCAGCATGCTGATGTGTTCCTGTTCACCAATGCAGAAGCTCTCTGAACCCTATCCTTTTGGGTTTTTATGGAGGTTTCCTTATAGAATCATGATTGATTACATCATTGGCCATGGGTGATCAACACAGCCTTCAGCTCCTCTTCCTCCCGGGAGGTCAGGGGATGGGGTTGAAAGTTCTGACCCTCTAGTCAGAAGGTTGGTTTCCCTGGCACAGTCTCTATTCTGAAGCTATCCTGGAGCCCCAGCCATCAGTCATGCCATTATCATAGAAAAAGGCATGTTTCACTCGGAGATTCCAAGGGCTTTAGGAGCTATGTGTCAGGAAACAGGTGGAAGACCAAAATATATAGTTCTGTGTAGAATGAGGAGATGATTACGTCAATAGAAGACTACATATATGACCCTGGTCACATATTATGCTCCCATAATACTGTATTTTTACTGTACCTTTTCTAAATGTACGCATATGTTACAATTGCCTACAGTATCAGTAAAATAACATGTTGTTCAGGTTTGTAACCTAGGAGCAACAGGCTTACCATATAGCCTAGGTGTGGAGTAGGCTGTACCATCTAGGTTTGTGCAAGGACGCTCTACAATGTTTGCACAATGACGCATATCTTAGAATGTATCCCTTTTGAACACATGACTGCATTTATCAGATTGCAGCCTCACACTGCCCTTATAGGCATCTATCCTCATAGCCCTTATAGGCATCTATCCTCGTAGGTGTTCAGTGAGGCTTGTCTATTACCCTGACCTAGTTCTGGATCATTGGAATACAGGCATTTTGCTGAGATATCCTGCCCAGGACCCCTTCAGGCCTAGGGGCTCCTCTGCTTTCTCTGCCGTTCTTTGGGGAATGGGAACCGTCCAGCTACTTCCATCATGCTGGAGTGTGGAGATTCATGCGAGGATGAATATGGCCCAGTTGTACCATACTGTCACTTCCTCTCTGGGTTTATGCACTTCTGTAGAACCCACCTGTTAATTGTTCTGTTGTGTCCCCCTGCAAATCCATATGTTGAAGCCCTAAACCTCCCCAGACCCATGTGACTGTAGTTGGAGATAGGTCCCTTAGGGAAGTAATGGAGGTTAAATAAGGTTATAAGTTTGGGACCTCATCCAATAGGACAGTGTCCTTACAGAAAAGGAAGAGACACCTGAGAGTCTTCTCTTCTCCACAGGAGCACAGAGGAAAGGCCAGGTGAGGACCCAATGAGAAGGCTGCTGTCTGCAAGCCAGGAAGAGAGGTCTCACCAGAAACTCATCCTGCTGGTGCTTTGATCTGGGACTTACAGTCTGCATACTATGATACAATAAATTCCTGTTAAGACGCTCAATCTATGGCTTCCTGTTACGACAGCCTGAGCAGATTGAGACAGCATCCCCAGAAAGGATCTAGCTGGAGCATTGAGCTCCTCTGCTCTCCTATCCCTTCCAAATCTCATATTCTTACCCTTTCTTACCCTGTCTCGTCGGCCAGAAAATGTGTTGCAATTTGGTTGTAAGAATAAAGATGAAGTCTAACAATAGATTTAGAAAAAATAGTTACGTTCATAAGAGATTCATAGCTGTAATATACAAAGAGCTCTTAAAAATTAATAAAAAGATAACCGAACAAAACAACAGGCAAATATGAATAAGCAGCTCACAGAGGAGCAAATCTAAATGGCCAATAAACACATTAAGAAATGCTCAAGCTCACTGGAAAATACAAATTAAAGCAGCATTGAGTTACCACTTTCTACCCATCACACTAGCAAACATTAAGAAGACCAATAATATCTATTGTTGGAGGAGATATAGGGCAGAGGGAATTCATACACGCTGCTGGAGGACATGTAAATGGTTTCAGTCTTTTTGGAAAATGGCATGGCAATAGCTTGTAAAATAAAAAGAATATATATCCCCTTCTACCCAGCAGGCCCACTTCTGGGAACCTATTTCACAAAAATAAAAGCACCAAAGAGTAAGGGTAAGATATGCAATGTTGCCTCAAAGGAAACATCCATCAATAGGAATAGTTGAATAAATTACAGTACATTCATATCACAAATATTAGGCAAACATTAAAATAAATTAATTTCAAAGCTGCTCATTTGGAGAAATCTACAAAATATGAAACAAGCAAAGTGCAGAGAAGTGTATAAAAATGATCCTTTTGTAAAATAGTGAAAACCTTCCTTATATGAGAGGTGGAGGGAGAAAGGGAAAGAGTAAATCTTCCCCAAACTGAGCTTGTGTGATATGATCCTATTAAATATTGTGGCAATAAATAAAGATGTGTATGAGAGAATTCGGCCACCAAATCATTATTTTAGGGTTGAGAAATTTCAAGTAATTTCTTTCTCTGTTATACTTCTATGTACTGTTAGAAAAAGTTATAATGAGCACTTACTTTTATAGTAGTAATGCATTTTACTTAAAAAAAAAAAGAAAAAAAAAAAGGATCTCGCCACCCTCTCCAGTCCAGCACACCGCAGCCCAGCACAGAGGATGATTAATTCACGTCACATGCTTCTCCCAGGAGAGGGGCTGTAGGAACGACTTAGATGCACCTTCTGGGGACACCCAGCGGTAGTGTGTTAAGTCCCTCCAGCCATCCCCTGGAAGCTCCTCCTTTCAGTGCCGTTTCCTTCCTTGGGCCCCTGAGCTTGGGGTCTCAGGCCTCAGTGATGACTCATCACTGTGTCCCATCCCTGGCCCTAGATGGGGCTGTTCCACCAGCTGCCACTGGGTCTCTAGAGAAGCCAGGCCTCTCTTGCCTGGGCCCCAGATCCTTGTGCCTCTGGTTCATTTTCCAACTCTCTCCCTGAGTTAATGACCAGTGGCCCTCCTTGGGTAGTGCCTAGGAATCCTACTGTTTCTCACCCAAAAATACCTTCTCAAAAGCTCATTATTCCTTTAACTCTGAATTTCCTGAATTGCCTTTTCAGATTAAGCAGAGTCACCCCTCAGTGTCTGTGGGGGATTGGTTCCAGGACTCCCTGTGGATACCCAGATCCACAGATGTTCAAGTCCTTTATATAAAATGATGTGATATTGGCATATAACCTAAGCATATCCTCCTGTACACTTTAAGTCATTTCTAGATGACTTATAATACCTGATGCAATGCCTACACATCACTTCATTCTTGAGGATTCATCGTAGTACTTGGTGCATGGCAAAGTCAAGGTTTGCTTTTTGGAACTTTGTGGAATTAAAAAAATATATATTTTCAATCTATAGTTGGTTGAATCCATGGATGCAGAATCCACGGATATGGAGGGCTATTTTTCTCTCAAACCCCAGACCACATCTCACATTTTACCTTTCTATAGCTACACCATTTTTTATGTCCCTCCTCTTCTGAGAGGTGCTGGTCGTTTGGCCAGGGCTGGGAATGAGCTTCCTGAAGGACTCCTAGGATATCCCACAACAGGGAGGTGGAGAAAATGCAAGACAGAGACCTCCAGGAGGAGAGCAGGGGAGGAGCCAGAGAGAGCAGAGACACCCACAGCAAAGTCAGGGGCAGAATGAATGAGAGGGAAGCCACAATGAACGAGTGAACAGAAGTAGGCTGGGAGCGGCCGAGGTCCCTTTGTGGGTTCAGCCCTCAGGGGGTGGTATAAAGGCATCCATGTCTTGATGGGGTGCTTTACTCTTGGAATGTCATGAGCAAAGGTTGATGTGGACCAGAGGAATCAGGAAAAATTTTAAGGAGCCAGAACTCTAATTGGATGCTGGAGAATGGATATATACATTTTTAAACCTATTCATATTTTAGATAATCACACGAAAGCTGAAAAGGACCTTAGAGATAATCTGGCCCTATGCTGTCAAGTATAGTAGCCATTAGCCTCATGTGACTATCGAGCCCTTGAAATGTACTAGCTAGCTGAACTGAGATGTACTGTAGTGTGTAAGAGACATATCCAGTTTTTAAGACTTTGTATGAAAACAATAATGTAAAATATCTCCTAAAATTCTTTATATTAATTATAAATTGTACTTTTGGGATATATTGGATTAAATGCAATATATCATTAAAATTTATTTTACTGCTTTCTTTTTATAGCACAATCTTGGCTCACTGCAACCTCCACCTCCTGGGTTCAGGTGATTCTCCTACCTCAGCCTCCTGAGTAGCTGGGATTACGGGCATGCATCACCACGCCTAGCTAATTTTTTGTATTTTTAGTAGAGACGGGGTTGCACTATGTTGGCCAGGGTGGTCTCGAGCTCCTGACCTCGGATGATCTGCCTGCCTCAGCCTCCCAAAGTGCTAGGATGACAGGTGTGGACCACTGTGCCTGGTTTATTTTATTTATTTATTTATTTATTTATTTATTTATTGAGACAGAGTCTCACTCTGTCACCGAGGGTGGAGTGCAGTGGCGCATTCTCGGCTCACTGCAAGCTCTGCCTCCTGGGTTCATGCCATTCTCCTGCCTCAGCCTCCAGAGTAGCTGGGACTACAGGCGCCTGCCACCACGCCCGGCTAATTTTTTGTATTTTTTGGTAGAGACGGGGTTTCACTATGTTAGCCAGGATGGTCCCGATCTTCTGACATTGTGATCTGCCCGTCTTGGCCTCCCAAAGTGCTGGGATTACAGGCGTGAGCCACCGTGCCCGGCATGTGCCTGGCTTATTTTTTAAGCCAACTACCAGAAAATGTAATGTTCCATAGTTGGCTCACATTGTATCTAATCTGTTGGACAGGGCTGCTCTAGACTAGGGGTTGGCAAACTTTTTCTGCAACAGGCTAGTTAGTAAATATTTTAGTCTTTGCAGGTTGTATGGTCTCTTTCCCAACTATCCAACTCTCCCATTGTAGTGCTTGAGGCCTGTACAGAAACAGGTAAAAGGCCAAAGGCCTGTAGGCTATAGCTGGCTGTCCCATGTCTGGAGCAATCCTCTAATTATAGAGTTGAAGTTATTAGTGCCTGGAGGGAGAGAGACTTACACACATCATGTTATGCTAATACCAGAATTTACTAGACTTTCTGCCTGGTCTATTTATTTCCATTTTCAATAAATAAGCAAGAGCGCAGGTGTCCCTCTATGGATAAAAATACTATTCTATGTAAATCTGAAGGCTAGTTAAAGATGTGATAAGCATGGCTGTCTTTTACAAAAATACACGTTAATTATTGTGATTCCTGAAAGAGACTTCTCCAAGACTAAATCCAGCTAAAAGTGGCTCAGGTATTTCTGTTGATAGCTTTGGTGTCTCTCACTCCTCTTCTGATCAATGGTAAGGGTCTCTGTGAGTAAGAATGATGAGGTTTTTCTAAGCTCTGGCAAGACAATGAGGCCTTGGTGGTCCCTCAGAAAACACCTATGTATTTTGGGGCAGTCGAATTTGGATATATGTATTAAACAAATATAGAATTGGGAGAAGGGTGAAAGTGGTATCTTGATTCAGTTGGCAAAAAATATCTAATTGATTATTCTTTGCCTGTGGGTTCCATCTCTAGCCTCGAGTCCTTTTGCTCCTCAGGACAAATGAGTAGGTCGCCATGCCAACCTGCCTGCTCTGGCATTGGTGATGGCTCCTTCATATTGGGTGTGGGTCACTACTGTGGCAGGAAGTGACCCACTTGACATTCAGGTTCCCTCTTGGGTAGAGATTTCAGCATAAGAGCATTTCATGGTTCCTAAAATCCCTCTCCTTTGCTGCGTCCTAACTGTACCTTGCATTTTGGCCACTAATCAAACCTGATCTTCTCTTTCATGACTGTTTCACGCTCTTTCCCTTGAGAAACTTGTAATCTTCTTGAGGCATATTTCTATCTGTTTAACAAATATGACTGTTAATAATTTTTAAAAATGTGTTATGAAATATTTAAGATATGAAAAAGCTTTACAGATGAATATAAGAATGCCCATGCATTGCTCTGTGTACCATTTCCCACAGCATCTTCCCAGGTAACCTCTGCCTGAGTTTGTTGTTTATCATTCTCATGCATTTTATTTTTTACACATATGTATGTGTCTCTAAATATTATGTTCTACAGATTGAAAAATTTTACATAAATTGTACCATCATGTATATATTCTGCTACTCTTTTTTGTTTTGTGTTTGATATTTGCCAGAATTAGGTTTCAAAAATTTATCCACATGATACATTGATTTGTTTTTGCTGCTAAATAAGTTTTCATTGTATAAATATGCAATTTATATTTCTGTTCTCTTGGTGATGAATATCAGGTTGTTTGTAATTTTTGCTCTACAAACAATGCTACCTCAAATATTTTTGTGCCCATTTAGAAGAATCCGGGCTACATACCTTGTAATGGATTTCCTTGAGCCTAGGATGTGTACATGATACAATTTGGCTTTCTGTTCCCACCCAAATCTCACCTTGAATGGTAATCTCCAAGTGTTTAGGGAGAGGGAGACCTGGTGGGAAGTGACTGGATTATGGGGGTGGTTTCCCCCATCCTGTTCTCATGATAGTAGGTGAATTCTCACGAGATCTGATGGTTTTATGAATGGTAGTTTTTCCTGTGCTCTTACACAGTCTTCTCTCTCCTGTCACCTTGTGAAGAAGGTGTCTGCTTCCCCTTCTACCATGATTTTGTTTTCTGAGGCCTCCCCAGCCATGTGAAACTGTGAGGCAATTAAACCTCTTTCCTGCATAAATTACCCAGTCTTGGGTATTTCTTTATAGCAGGGTAAAAATGAACTAATACAGTACATCCGCAGCTTTATTGTATAGTGGCAGATTGGTCTCCAATGTGATTGCACCAATTTGTATGATACCCACCTTCCTATCCTTCCTTTTTCTCACCAACACTTAGTGTCATAAGACATTCATCTTTTGTTGTTGTTCATCTGTTGGTTATGAAATGGTAGCGTTTCAGATTGTGTATTTTTTTTCCTGATTTCTAGTGAGCTTGATCTTTCTGGTTTTTCATACTTTAACTTGAGCTTTTTGTTCTGTGAATTGCCTGTTCATATCTTTTGCCCATTTTTCTATTGAGCCATTTGTCTCTTTCAGTAATAGACATTTATACATTCTAAAAAGTTATCCTCAGTTGGTTATGTGGCTTACAAACACCTTTTCTCAAGTTCTGGGTTGTCTTTGCCACTTTTAACAGAATCTTCAGGGAAACAGAAGGAATCTTGCTATGTTGCCCAGGCTGGATTCCAACTCTTAGGCTCAAAGGATCCTCCCATCTCAGCCTCTTGGGTAGCTGGGACTACAGGAATGTACTACTGTGCTTGGCTGAGGTTTTCTACTTTAATATGGTGATAAGCTCCAGTCCCACGTGAGGTGATGTGGAAGCTGTGCATGGGGGCCAAGAAGTGGGCTCAGGGACACACGTTTCTTTAACTCCCTTTACCCATCAGCCCAGGGAACCCTGATACAGATAAAATAGCTAAGCAGACTAGAGGAAAAGAAGGCAGTCTGTGTTCTCTGCTTAGTGATTTTTTAGGTACTTAATATACTACTTTGAATCCCATGGTAATATTTGCCAAATGCCTCAATCGTAGGATAACTTAATTAAATATTACTTATAAGAATTTAATATTCATTATTGGCTTCAATTACTGTCTTTGTCCCCTCCCCTCTTTCTCCCACACTGGAGTGCTCTCTCCCCTCTCTTATTCCAAAGCTCTAATTAGGCTAATGGCTGCTGCTTGCAGTGACCTTGTGTCTGTTGAAAAACAAAAAAATAAATAAAGGCTCTCTTTGGTTTGCTTTCCCCAATGATCTTTGCATGTGGCAGCTCCAGCTCTTGAATTCCATGTTTCTTTCCTTTTTCAAATGCCTGAGCTCACTTGGGCTGTATAGCAGAATTAATGATGTGTATTTGAAAAGTCTTGGCAGCCAAATTGCAGCAAACACAAGAGGGCTGCAGCATTGGAGAGAGGGAGGAATTGAGAAAAACCCTGAACCTTCCCACAAGGACTCAGCAGCAAAGACTGCCACAAGGCTGACAGGGAAAAGCTTTCAAAGGAGGGGGCATGCACAAACCAAAATGCATTCTTTTTTATTCTTTCTTTCTCCATCTTGGAGCTTAATAGCATCCTTAGCTCCCCTCTAAGAGCGTTTCTTCCGAGGCTTTTGGGAGTCTTTCCCAGGGTCCTGCCTATAGCCCGTACACCACTGAGGGACCATCATGAAGGGAGGAAGCCAGGTGAGAGGTTTGTTCTCTGCTCTGGCTCAAAAGTCAATCTGTGCACTTATAGGTGCTGTATGTTGAGCTGGGCATTGTGGGGATGAAACATGGGAAAGCCCCAGTTTCTGGGAGCCAGAGAAGCACAGAGGGAACTGTACTACAGTCAGCTTGGGAGAGCAGGAACAAGCTTTATCAAAGAGCACTCGGGTTGCTGAGCAGCGAGAAACTGGTTCTGACAAAAGCTAGGTATGGGAAGGAGGGAGTTAGAGAGACTGACTCCAAGAGTAATGTTCGAGGTGTGCCTTAACGGGTGAGAAGGAGGTGGAATTAACCAAGGCGGGGATGCCATCTGGGCAGTGAGAAAGGGGAGGTGCTAAGTGCGTGTGAATCAGAGGAAGCATTACCCCAAAAGCATTTGGAGTGGTGCTTCCTCTGGTGGAGCTGGAACATAGGGAAGTTCTCTGGGGAAGCAGGATGACTCTATGCCTGGGAAGGTGAGAAGAGGAGGTGAGAAGGCAGTTTGCATCCAGGAGGTGAAGACCTTGAGTCCCAGGTAGGAATTTGGTCTCTATACTGGGAATACTTTATCCTGGGAGTATACTGAAGGTTTACAACATATAGGGGATGATGTAGTCTAAGGTGTGTTTTAAAGTAATACCTCCTGTAGCAGTAAGAAGGGTGAGTCTATGAGGAGATGAAAAGAGACAGTGCATGGAAGAGACCAGAACCAGACAGAGCAGCTGGCAAGCACTTGCTCACATGAGTAGAGATGCAAGTCTAAAATTAAAGGCACTTGGGAGGTAGATTCAGCAGGACGTGGTGACCAAGGGGACGTGGTGGTTGTCCAAAGCTGGTTAGCCCTGATCATGAGCCATGCTGCAAACTCCCGTGAGGAGGAGAGAGTGATTGAGACCAGCTGCAGGCAGAGGCCAAGCAGAACTAACCCAGAGAGAGGCTGTCCCCAGTGGCCCAAGTCACTAGATTCACAGAGACAGAGCAAACTTAAGCCTGGTCCAGGCCCCTTGACATCTGAGGGGTCATGTCTGAGAGGGCAGGGTGAGACACAGGGTTAGAGCTTCTAGAGGATCCCAGGGAGGGAGTGATGACATCAGGACCCTAGCCTAATTCAGGGTTCCAGGCCTGACTTCAGTACTAGTGCAGAGCCCAGGATGTAGCCCATTGTTCAGACTGTCCCCAATTTCTGTTATTCAGGAAGGAGACTTGTCCACCTACTGCTTCTAAATGTACCCAAAGGCCAAGTTCACTCTCAAAGCACCCACGCCACCTAGGTTTGTAGCCACAGAAAAATTCTACAGCCCATGTACAGGCAAATATCTTTGCAATGGCCTCTTTTTGTTGGGATACTGAGCTGAGCCTATCTTTGGAGTCACTGATACATGTTGGGGTCATCTGGGCAGAACTGAAATTGAAAGTGCTGACAGCAGACTGGAATAGGGCAAGGAGGAAGTGAGGGGAAGTGACTTTCCCTAGGACAGCCCTTACTTACTGAATGGCAGAATTGGAACCATAGTCAACAACTTTTAACTTCTATTCTCATGTCTCTGTGTAATAGAACTATGGTCCTGGAGAATTTTCTTGTTTCCTCTTAGATCTTAGACCCCCGAGCCAGCGGTGGTTGTGCTGCCTGTACTAATGGCAGAGCCGTGGCTGAAGCATATTTTCAGGCGGCTCTTGTTATGGCTATTTCCCAGAAGGCTGGGCAAACTGAGTATGGTGTAGAATAGTGGTTATGGGAAAATATTCTGGAGCCAGACTGCCTGGGTTCAAATCCTGTTACTGCCACCTACTAGCTATATGTCCTTGGGCAAGTGATTGAGCTTGCCTCTACTTCAGTTTCATATTCCGTAAAGTGCGTAGAGTAAGCAGACGTCCTCAGCGGTTTGGTTAACGCCTGTTTTCTTAGTATAATTATTAACGGTATTCCCTTTTCCTCTCAAAAATATCTTGTTTTGGATGAAACATCATATGGTCACTCTAAATACAGGGTGAGAAGAGTACCTATTTTATGAGGTTATAAAAATTAAATATGTGAAGACTCTTAGATGTGTCTGATAATATATGTATAGGCCTCTGTTATTAATGATATACCGGATATTGCATTAATTTTCCTAGGGCAGTCATAACAAATCAGTACTAATTAGGTTGGTGCATAAAAAAATTAATGGCAAAAACTGTAGCTACTTTTGGACCAACCTAATACACACTAGAAGGCTTAAAACAACAGGAATATATTCTCTTACAGTTCTGGAGGCTACAAGATGGAATCAAGGTGTCAGCAAGGTTGCCCTTCCTCCGAAGACTCTACAGAAGAATCTTCTAGCTTCTGCTGGCAGCTGGTGACCCCTGGCAATCCTTGGATTGTGACAGGATCACTTTAATCTCACGCCTTGCCTTCACTTGGATTTTTTCCCTGTTTGTATGTCTGTATAAATGTTCCTCTCCTTATAAGGACACCAGTCATGGGATTAGGGGCTTATCCTAATCCAGGATGACATCATTTTAACTTGATTACCTCTCAAAGACCTTATTTCTTTTTCTTTTTCTTTTTTCTTTTCTTTTCTTTTTTCTTTTTTTTTTTTTTTTTTTTGCAATGGAGTCTTGCTCCGTCGCCCAGGCTGGAGGGCAGTGGCACGATCTTGGCTCACTGCAACCTCTGACTCCCTGGTTCAAGTGATTCTCCTGCCTCAGCCTCCCAAGTAGCTGGTATTACAGGCGTGCACCACCATGCCCAGCTAATTTTTGTATTTTTGGTAGAGATGGGGTTTCACCACGTTGGCCAGGATGGTCTCAATTTCCTGACATTGTGATCCGCCCCCTTGGCCTCCCAAAGTGCTGGGATTACAGGTGCGAGCCACCAGGCCCGGCCAACCTTATTTTTAAATAGGGCACCTTTGCAGGTTCCAAGTGGACATGAATTTTTAGGGAAATGTTATTTGAGTACAGACAGATAATATATCTCATGTCTCAATTACATTTGGAGCTATTTGACTTTTATATTTAGCATGAAACTTGGTGTGGCATAGTAGGTAGTTGATCTTTGATAGATACAATGTTGCAAAATGATGGCCTTTGTGGGTTTATTGTGGAGGCAACAGCTGAGGCAAGGGAATTAGGGAAAAAAAGAGAGGCAGAAAGAAATATTTCTTCATGTCATCTCTCCCTTGGCTCAGCGGAGAATCTAGTTTCTAGGAGGTGTCAATCTCATCGCTTGCCTCACCCTTTGGCTAATCTTTAAAAAAAGAAAAAAGCCTTCAAATCATTCTTAAAAAATAATTTCAACAATGCAAATCAACAACCGCACACACAAAATCCAACAAAAAGACCCCTCGGCACATCAAGAAGATGCTGATACCAAAAGCTGAAATAGCTTCTCCATAATGCAATGAAATGTATTAAATTCAATAGACATCAAAGGAACTTCGGGAGCAATTGCTGAATTTCCGAAGTAAACAGGGCTTTCAAAAGAAACAAAAACAGCACTGGGATCTGGGGGGTGGGAGCGCATTTTGAGGGGGCAAAGCATGGAATCCCCGGGCTCTTGATCAAAGGGGGAATTCTTTAAAAAGTAGCAATAAATGAAGACTTGAAAACTGTTTTTGATCCAAACTGCCCCAGGTATGGGTACTGACTGCAAAAGACAAATCCATTTCCAAATAAGGGAGGCCAACAATTCCGTCTCCAGCCTTACATTTTGCAGGTTATTCAAAGGAAAGAAATAATTCCAGACAAAAGGGATCCAGATAAGCAAAATGCAGCCTCATGTGGGCTGCAAAGCAGCAGAGGGCCTTTGTGTCTGGAATAGTTTAATGACAATTCTGGCACCCTCAATCTCGGAGACATTAACATTTTAAAATTGAAAGGTGGGGTGTGCGTGTGTGTGTGTGTGTGCATGTACTCATGTGTGTGCATACCTAATTGTGTGACTGGGTGTCTGGCAGAACGGAGAGAGAGATGCCCCCACGGGCAGAAAAACTACAGCCCATATACTGTTCAATGGGATTCATGCTACCCTGTTAGGGACACCGAGTGGGTTTATTGTGGAGTTCTCTGAGATCATCAAAGTATAGAATCCTGCAGGCTGGGGATCGCTCAACCTCCCTCTTAGGGTTCAAATGTACAAAATACAGTTCGAAAAAGATAAAAAGTGACTTGTCCAACATTACATAGATTCATTAAATGACATTCCTTCCCCGACAGGCTAAATTTGGAATTTAACCCCTTCCCTGCTTATATAGCTATCTGAGGAATAAGAGGATTTTTCTCAAGCAATCATATATAACCGAGTGTCCAGCCCAGTGGTTCCAAAACCTGTCTCATTATTAGGATTACCTGGCTGATTTTAAAAACACAGATTCTTATTAAACATAAAGTTGCTCTGAACATTCATGAGCAGGCATTTGTGTGCACAGGTGCTTTCATTTCTCTTGGGTAACCACCTAAAAATGCAGTGGCTGGTTCATATGATAGATGCATATTTACCTTTTTTGAGAGATGGTTGAACTGTTTTCCAAAGTGGCTGTGTCATTTTATATTCCCAGCAGCAGTGGACAAGCATTCCAATAGCTCCACATCCTCACCAACACTTGCAATGGTTGGTCTTTTTAAATGTTAGTCACTCTAATACTTGTGGAGGGATATCTTGTTGAGGTTTTAATCTGAATTTCTCCAGTGATAAATGGGGTTAAGCATCTTTTCATGTGATTATTTGCCATTGGTATATCTTTTTGGGTGAAGTGTCTGTTCAAATATTTTCCTGATTTTTAGATTTTTTTCCTCTTATTATTAAGGTTTAAGAGTTTGAATGTGAATGTTCCTAGAAGCCTTATTTGGAATGGCGTCACACTGGAAACAACACAGATGTTCACTAACAACTGAATGGCATATCCTTGGGATTGAATCCGCTCAGCAATAGAAGGGGACATGAAAACATGTGAGAACACACATGAATCTCAAGACAATTATACTGACCAACAGAAGCCACATACTGCATGATTCCATATTCTATATAACTATAGAAACACATACTGTATGATTCTATATTCTATATAAAAGTGCAAACTAACTTAGAGTGACATAAAGGTCAGTGGTGGCCTGATGGTGTGGGGGATCCTGGGAGTAGGGGAAGGAGAAGAATTATAAAAGGCCTTGAGGAAACTTCTGGGGTGATGGACATATTTATGATCTTGGTTATGGTGATGGTTTTACCAGTGTATATGTACGTGAAGACATCAAATTGTTCACTTTGAACATGTGTAGTTGGGCATAAAAAAAAAAAGATCTAGATCTGAATTTGACTGAAAATCAAAACCAAAACCACATCACCTCTCTGCATCTTAGTTTTCTGCATCTGTGCAAATGGAGTCATAACCTGAAATATCTTCCCAGTACTCTTGTGAGGCTTAAACTAAGTAAGCAAATGGAAGTGCCTGGCCCAGAGTAGGTCTCAGTAAGTGGATATTCATTTAATTCCCATTTTCATAAGAATCCTCAAAAGAGAAGTGGTGGGCTCTAGGAGAACACCCCAGGTGGGGGCCCTGGAGCATGTGTGTGTGCCTGTGAACGTGTGTGTGTGTGTACATGTGTGCACACACATGTGTCCAGGTGAGGCTGACTCTGACTAGCCAAGGTTTAGCATGAAAGTCCCTGAAGACTTTGGGAAGTGGGATTAGCATTACTAACATCCGTGTTTACTTCCTACATTCCCCACCAAAAGGCCTTAAGAAAAAACACCAGCTCCCATGTGGGATTGCAGTGATTAATGTTTATCTCATTCTGCATCAGGGCTCCAGGCTGGAAGCTTGGGCTCCTTTCTGCCAGCCTTTATCATATTGTTACCTGGTTAACCAGCTCAGATCTTGCAGCCAAAACCAAAGGGAGGCAGCCCAAGTGGGCGTCTTTCTTTACTTCCCTGCCTCTTCCTCCCTCTTTGAAAGCTCTGTGGCTTGCTGCTCCATTGTCGGATGAGCTACAAAGGCTCTCCAGGTGCACGGCGAGCAGGAGTGTGACACGCGGGCACGCATACACGCGCTCGCACACACGCTCTGCTTCCAGCCGGGGCCAGGGTGATGAATTGCGGCATTTGAAAGTCTCCTTATCGCGGTGATGCACATGGGCTGGGATGTGTGTGCCTGTGCGGGTGTCGGAAGAAAGCAATGGGGAGCCTGGAATGAGAAAATAGAGCTCCTGGCTCCCCTTGTCCCTGCCTCTTTGTCTAGATGCAATTTCAGATGCTGCTGGGTGTCTTGTCAGCAAGTCTTTTGCAAAATAAATGGAGGTAATATTTTTTAAAAAGCTGATTTGTTCAGTATTTAGCCCACGGAGAAAATGTGCACACACGTCAATGAAAGACCTGCTCCCTTGTGTTGATGTGATGCCAAGAAGGAAGAAAGCAACCCTTTACTGAGTGCCTACTGTGTGCTAAGTCCTTCATGGACATATGCTGGCATGAGCCTTGGCACCTCCTGTAGGAGGCAGGTACTAAATAAATGCCACCAGGCTTGAAGTGGGTTAAAAGTTGGGGAGTTGCCTCTGTCCTCCTGTCTATCACGGATGGCCTGGTGTCAAGAAACGCGCCTCCACCTAGGAGGTGCTGGGCACCGTGGGCAGGAAACTGAAAAGGCACATCTTGAATTTAGAGAGCACTGGACTTCCACGGTAAATCAAAGCACTTCTTTCTGTCTTTTTTTTTTTTTTTTTTAAATTATTTACTGTCTTCATTAAAGACACATTCTGCTTACTGTTAGGCTGCAGGCAATACTAATGGAATTAAAAGAAAGAAAAAAACTGCAGGCAATTAAATGACTAAGTCCTTTTGTCCTGGAAACAACTCTGAAAAAAAGGATGTATCATTTCTCCAAAGACTAGGGCAGGGAGTTGACGGATTTTCCCCTCCTCCCCACCGCTTACCACCTACTCTTCTGTCTATTTTTTGGGGAGTGGTGAATGAAGAGCATTAGTTCTTCTGGAACTTTCCACTCATGTTTCACATACTGCCATACTGTCTTCCCAGCTCACCCCAGTGACAACTGTGCTGAGAAGGTCCATTGCATTTACTTCTTGTCAAAAGTGTTACTACCAGAGTGAGTGATTCTATGGGAAGCTTGAGGATACTTTCCAGATAAGGGATCTTAGGTATGAACCATCACTGGCTGAGATAATTAATACACATTCAGTGCTTTACCGCTTACTCCATTTCTACTCCCATTTGGTTCTTACAGCTTTTCTGTAACACATGTAGGTGTATTTGCCCCATTTTACAGATAAGAGAACCGTGGCTCAGTTTGAGAAATTTAAAAAAACGTGCCGAAGGTCAAACAGTAGTGAAACCAGAACCTTGATCTCAGGTCTCCTGACTGCTCTACTGTTTTCTCAGTGCCTAGGGCAGCATATTTTCTGAGTCAGAACTCCAGGTATATGATTTGAGAAGACTGAGTATTATGATATTTGCATCAGAATCATTCTGGGAAGTTAAAGGGTCCAGTCTTTATCATTGCACCATATTGCTGGCGTGGATCCACCAAATGTGAGCCTTAGAGCCTCGAGAATAAGAGGTGAGGGCAGGACAGGCTCTGAGTTGACCTGCAGAGTGGTTGCGGAGGATGCAAGTTCTTGAGACTTCTGCCTTCTAAGACCCATGAACCATCCAAGCAAATGCTCGGGCTGTTTTCTCTCTGTGGTCACCAGATGGTCTCCAATGTGGACAAAGCCTGTAGGCCTTAAAATAACAACAGTTTTAGATTTGGTTGCCAATTCACATGTGTGATTTGCTCTTAGCTACCTATTTTAAAGTCGTTGGTGGTTACCATTTTGCCTTGGGCAGCCTTGCCCCCGATGACTGGCTGTCTTCCACAGGACTGGCAGCCAAGGCAAAGGAAGAAAAAGGATTAAAAATTGGAACTTTCCTTTCTTATCTATTGACAAAGTCAATGCTATCTTCCCAGTTCATTGGAGTAATTGTGTTTGGTTCTTTATGAAAGGCAATTTTATTAATTTTTTTTTTTTTTTTGAGATACGGTCTTGCTCTGTTGTCTAGGCTGGAGTGCAATGGCTTGATCATAGCTCACTGCAGCCTCCTGAGAAGCTGGGACCACTGGCATGCACCACCACACCCAGGTAATTTTAATTTGTTTGTAGAGACAGAGTCTTGCTATGTTGCCCAGGGTGGTCTCAAAATTCTGGGCTCAAGCAATCCTCTTGCCTTGGCCTCCCAAAGTGCTGGGATTATAAGTGTGAGCCACTATGTCCAGAGAATTTCATTAATATTTAATGATAGCAATAGTATCAATAATATCAACAGAATCCTTTCCAAATGCATAGAGCTTTGGAGTTTGCAGAGCTCCCACTGAACAGCCACAGGCACCTCAACTTTAAGTTGTTCAACGTGAGCTGTTTTCTTTGCTGTTCCCTTCTGTCAGTGTTCCCTGACTCAGTATTGTCACCATCCCACATCCTGATGTTCAAGCCAGAAACCCTGGAATCACCCCAGATCCCATACCACTCTCCACATGCAGGCAATCTTCCAACAAAGTCGGTTCTTTCTCCAGTTTTTTCAATTTACCTGTGTTTCCCCATTCGCAGTACCAATGCTTTATTCCAGGCCACTGTGGTGAGTCTTGGTGGGAGGAAAGGCTCAGTGTTTCCCCATGGAAACTGAAAAGTCTAGACATGTGTTCCTAGGACCCTGGGCAATTGGATGTTCCCATTTGGGACTTAGAATTTGGAGTAAGAGCTGCAAAGAAATGGGAACAGTTTGGAATTGACTGCAGTGGCTGCTGCAGCAGCGTCTTCATTCGCACAGTGAGGCAGGGGGCAGCCATAGGCTGGGGAATATTCTAGCCAGCAGTGGTGTTGGCAGCATCCTAAACCACCTGTCCCGTTGGGCAGCTGAAGCTGGGGTCTGGCCTCCTTACCTCCTTGGGTGCTACCCATTTGCCTTGTCAATTCTGTGAGATACCCAGCAGCTTTACAATGATTGCTTTTTTTTGATTTAACTGGGTTAGTTCCTGTTGCTTGCAATCAAGGACCCCGACTAGGGCGAGGTCCTGGCCTCTCTGCTATGCAAGACATTTCCTAGGATGCTACATGGACAAAATCCAACAGCCTGCAGCCTCAGGGCCCTATGAACTGATGCGTGCATTTTAGAATTGTCTGGAATGTAGTTGGGCAACGCTGATGTGGACTTTCCACTAATATGGTCTCACCTCCTCCCAGGCTACTTAGAATCTGAGGAAAACTCAAAGATAAAACCATTTAAGGCACGTAGAGCAGAAGGAATTTTACTTGCAGAGAAAGTTTTTAAAGGATTGGCCACCAAATAAAAATCGCTACAAATATTTACAGGGAAAAAACAAAGCACAAGATTTTCAAGGTTATCAAGTTGACAGTCTGCCCTTGGTGGACAAACAACAGTTTTCTCATATGAGTATCGTGTTTCCCAAGTTTATGACAAGTCTTCAGCTTTCAGCTTTGAAAATTCAGGGCACAGCTGTTCTTGTTAGGGAGTCAGTAATTTACAAGAAAGCTCAAGGTTTCCTTTATTTTTGAAACTAGAGCTAGACAGGGAGGCTCTGGGGCTTTTGTTGTTATGTTTGCTTGTAGAGTTGGTGCTGGTTATTCATGATAGTTCTGTTTTACAAAGTTGCCATGAACACTGAATTAGCCAATACTTACCCGTTGTTCCCAGGGGAAATACAGGGTTAGGTTCCTGACAACCACTGTTCATAACATTTTCATCAATCAGTCAATACAGGACCTTGTTTTATGTGTTTCTGTTTGAAGATACTATATTTAATTTGCATCATTGATTCATTAACATTGAATCACGGCCAACACTATTATTCATAGCTGTTTAAAGCCTGTCTAACACACATATTTTCTTTATAAGACACATCACAGCCTTCTTGTGCTTGGGAACTCTAGACAGCTATTGAGCACTACACTTGGGGGCCATTTTAAATAGTGAGATCACCAACAAAGAGCAAGAAAATACAAAAGACGTGGCACTCAATGGACCATTGAAGAGGACACTTGTTTGCAGTATGGGAGGTGAAGCAAGAAGGCAGAGTGTTTGTTACCTTGTTGGAACTCCACTGGGAACATGCATATAAGCAACTCCAAGTTTTTGCCACTCTGTGGATGTCCAAGTAGTGCGTTGAGCATTGGTTTTAGGATTATGAATCAATTCTAGGGTGTGCAGAGTTGGTGAATAATGAAGACCAACTGTATGCATGCATGCACGTATGCTGTACATATGTATTTTGGCTTATCTAAGGGTACAAAGAGCTTTCTATATCCCTTTATTGTGAGTTGAAAAAAGTAAAAATTAGTTCAGACTAGATGAGATGTGCATACTGTTCTTTAGTGGCTGAAGGTCAAGGTGTGAATTTTGTTTCCAAGTCAAATCTCCTTAGGCCCTTCACATGAAAAAACAGCTATACCTCTAGGGCAGTGGTTCTCAAAGTGGGGTCCAGGAGCTCTTAGTGTCCAAAACTATTTCAGCTGGTCAATGAGGTCAAAACTATTTCAATAGTAGTGAGATGTTATTTGACTTTTCCACTCTTGTTCTCTCATGAGTGCAGAGTGGGGATTTCTAGGGAATTCGGGACATATGACGATACCATTGCTCTGCTAAACCAAAGTTTATCCCATCAACATACATGTGTAATTGAAGACCTCAGTAATTTGTCTTGAGAACAGAATAATTTGTACTCCCTGCTTGAGGTTGGGGAAAGTCCTCTAGGGGTCACTTATAGGATGGGTCTGTCCCTTGCTCACTCTCGGATGCATCCAGACCTCCCCTATTTGCCCACTCTGACTTCCATGATTGTGCAAGCTTTGCCCCTTGACCTCTGACCCCTCTGCATTGTGAGACCTCATGGTCCCTTGACCCCTGTTGGGACATGTATCCTGCTGCTTTGTTGCCTTTGGTTCTCTTCCCAGGCCTGGCTGCCATGGCTGTGGACAGAGGCAGCTGCCGCTCCCAAACGTCCTTTCTAGCTCTGACATGTGGGTTGTCCATGCCCCTTCCTGGTGGTGGCCACCTCAGGGTGCTGCTGCTTCCACAGACTTGTCTGTCACTAATTAGGCTGTGCTCCTTCCTCCCCCATCTCCTCCCTTGTACTCTCTCTTCCTATTTCCTCTTCTGTCTCTTCTCATTCTCACTTGGTTTTGTCCAAGTAGGCAGCCCAGTGGATTTGTATCAATAAGAAGCAATCAGGGACTGCCATAATACTTGCAATCAATAGATAATTGCATCAGGGTGATTCCATTACCTCAGGCTTCCATGCACTGATTACCGCTGAGGCCTTGCCATTCCAGTAGCTGTATCTCTGCTGTGCTGCAGGCTTTGGTGGAGCAGAGGGTAGGGGGCTGCTAGGTTGAGCCCCGGGGAGCCTACCCCGGGCCTAGGCAGTTGTGGGGCCCATCAGGGTCCAGGGTCAGGGTCAGGGTCAGACACCAGGAAATCAGACACAGGCGTGAGAGTCTGATGGGCTGATGAATGAGTCCAGAGGTAGCCTGGAGTCGGGCAGCAGGATCAACAGGACTAGAGCCCTGAGAAGCACATTCTGGAGTGGCCTTCTTGGATAGAGGCAACTACCCTCATGGCCCCCAAACCACTTTAACTGATGTTTAATTTGTATTGTGCTTTTCAATGCAGATAGCGCTTTCTCATACAGGACCTCACCCCAACCCTACAGGTTAAGTGTGACCATCCCTACTATACAGGTGAGAAAGTGGGATCCCAGAGGGGAGGCCGGGCTGAGGGCTCAGTGTTACTCAGCTTCCAAGCTGAGAAGCCACAACTCAAACTCGATATTGAATTTAAAGTTGTAATCCACAGTGGAGTTCAAAGTTTGGTATGCTTTTTCTAATAGACCCAGAAAAATAAACAAACCCCACTGCCTTGGTAGAGCACTTCTACACATGTCACTTCAGCTGTCCTGTGAGAAGGGCAGTGTAGTATATTATGGACATTTGACAGATAAGGACCGTAAGGTTCAGATTAGGGTGACCAGTTGTCCTGGCTTGTCTGGGGCTAAGGGAGGGCTCCTGGAATTTTCAATGCTGACCAGGAAAGTCCTGAGATGAGTGGCCACCTTAGTTCTGGTAAAGCTGTGTTGACTTATTATAATGGCTGCTGATAGATTCCTTTCTCATAGCAATAAGCTACTCCAGGTAACTGCCTGTGCACCCATTTTACCTCTTGTCTTTAAGACTAATATAATAGCAACAGCTATGATTTAGTGAGTGCTGATGGGACACCATGGCGTGTCACATAGTTGGTAATAATAGCCAACACGTTTTTAGCACTTTCTGTGTGCCAACCACTCTTCTAAGCACTTTACAAACATTAACTTGTTTAATCCTTTTTTTTTTTTTTTTGAGATGGAGTCTCACTCTGTTTCCCAGGCTGGAGTGCAGTGGTGTGATCTTGGCTTACTGAAACCTACACCTCCTGGGTTCAAGTGATTCTCCTGCCTCAGCCTTCCAAGTAGCTGGGATTACAGGCACTCACCACCATACCCAGCTATTTTTTTTTTTTTTTTTTTTTTTTAGTAGGGACAGGGTTTCACCTTTTTGGCCAGGCTGGTTTTGAACTCCTGACCTCATGTGATCTACCCACCTTGGCCTCCCAAAATGCTAGGATTACAGGTATGAGCCACCGCGCCTAGCCCCATTTAATCCTTTTACAGAGGAGAGAACAGAAGCAGAGAGAGGTTGAGTATTTTGTCCAAGCTCATGCAGCCAGTGAGGGATGAAAACAGGTCTCAAATGTGGCCATCTGACTTCCGAGTATCCCCTTGTAACTACTTGCCTCTGTAATCTTGGACAAACGCTTAGACAACAGGAGATATTTCCACTGTGATCTTTATGGAAAATAAAACTGAGGGAGAGAGTAATTTCTTGTTAAATGAATAAATGAATGAGTGAATGAATGAATGGGGAGTCCTATAACTTTCCCGAGATCACAAAGTGAATGACGCCTATTCCCCTGTATACAATGGGACACTAGTCAGTAAAAGAAATAAAATAATAGAGATGAAGGTCAAAAGCAATATGTTTTGGAGAAGAAGCTTGACACAAAAGACAACATTCTCTTTCATAGGAGTCCTTATTTATGAAGTTCAAGACTGGATCAAATCTATAGTGATAACTTTCAGAATTGTTCTTGCCTATAGATGGTGGGGGTTGACTAAAAGGGGTCCTAAGGGAAATTTCTGGGGTGATAGAGATGTTCTATGTCTCTTTTTTTTTTTTTTACTATACTTTAAGTTCTGGGATACATGTGTGGAACGTGCAGGTTTGTTACATAGGTATACATGTGCCATGGTGTTTTGCTGCACCCATCAACCCACCATTATATATTAGGTACTTCTCCTAATGCTATCCCTTCCCAGCCCCCCACCCCCTGACAGGATCTGGTGTGTGATGTTCCCCTCCCTGTGCCCAGATGTTCTCATTGTTCAACTCCCACTTATGAGTGAGAACATGCGGTGTTTGGTTTTCTGTTTTTGTGTTAGTTTGCTGAGAATGAGGGTTTCCAGCCAGGTTTGCATCCAGGTCCCTGCAAAGGACATGAACTCATTCTTATTTATGGCTGCATAATATTCCATGGTGTATATCTGCCACATTTTCTTTATCAAGTCTATCACTGATGGACATCTGGGTTGATTCCAAGTCTTTGCTATTGTGAATAGTGCTGCAATAAATATATGTGTTCATGTGTCTTTATACAAGAATGATTTATAATCCTTTGGGTATATACCCAGTAATGGGATCACTGGGTCAAATGGTATTTTTAGGTTTAGATTCTTGAGGAATCGCCACACTGTCTTCCACAATGGTTGAACTAATTTACACTCCCACCAACAGTGTAAAAGTGTTCCTCTTTCTCCCCATCCTCTCCAGCATCTATTGTTTCCTGACTTTTTAATGATCACCATTTTAACTGGCATGAGAGGGTATCTCATTGTGGTTTTGATTTGCATTTCTCTAACGATCAGTGATGATGAGCTTTTTTTCCATATGTTTCTTGGCCGCATAAATGTCTTCTTTTGAGAGTGTTTGTTCATATCCTTTACCCACTTTTTGTTGGGGTTTTTTGTTTTTTTTTCTTGTAAATTTAAGTTCCTTGTAGATTCTGGATATTAGCCCTTTGTCAGATGGATAGATTGCAAAAATATTCTTCCATTCTCTAGGTTGCCTGTTCACTCTGATGATAGTTTCTTTTGCTGTGCAGAAGCTCTTTAGTTTAATTAGATCCCGTTTGTCAATTTTGGCTGTTGTTGCAATTGCTTTTGGTGTTTTAGTCATGAAGTCTTTGCCCATGCCTATGTCCTGAATGGTATTGCCTAGGTTTTCTTCTAGGGTTTTTATGATTTTAGGTGTTACGTTTAAATCTTTAATCCATCTTGAGTTAATTTTTGTATAAAGTGTAAGAAAGGCGTCCAGTTTCAGTTTTCTGCATATGGCTAGCTAGTTTTCCTAACACCATTTATTAAATAGGGAATCCTTTCCCCATTGCTTGTTTTTGTCAGGTTTGTCAAAGATCAGATGGTTGTAGATGTATGGTGTTATTTCTGAGGTCTCTGTTCTGTTCCATTGATCTATATATCTGTTTTGGTACCAGTATCATGCTATTTTGGTTATTGTAGCCTTGTAGTAAGGTTTGAAGTCAGGTAGCATGATGCCTCCAGCTTTGTTCTTTTTGCTTAGGACTGTCTTGCCTATACAGGCTCTTTTTGGTTCCATATGAAATTTAAAGTAGTTTTTTTCTAATTCTGTGAAGAAAGTCAGTGGTAGCTTGATGGGAATAGCACTGAATCTATAAATTACTTTGGGCAGTATGGCCATTTTCACGATATTGATTCTTCCTATCCATGAGCATGGAATGTTTTTCCATTTGTTTGTGTCCTCTCTTATTTCCTTGAGCAGTGGTTTGTAGTTCTCCTTGAAGAGGTCCTTCACATCTCTTGTAAGTTGTATTCCTAAGTATTTTATTCTCTTTGTAGCAATTGTGAATAGGAGTTCACTCATGGTTTGGCTCTCCATTATTGTATAGGAATGCTTGTGATTTTTGCACATTGATTTTGTATCCTGAGACTTTGCTGAAGTTGCTTATCAGCTTAAGGAGTTTTTGGGCTGAGAAAATGGGGTTTTCTAAATATACAATCATGTCATCTGCAAACAGAGATAATTTGACTTTCTCTCTTCCTATTTGAATACCTTTTATTTCTTTCTCTTGCCTGATTGCCCTGGCCAGAATTTCCAACACTATGTTGAAAAGAAGTGGTGAGAGAGGGCATCTTTGTCTTGTGCCAGTTTTCAAAGGGATTGCTTCCAGATTTTGTCCATTCAGTACGATATTGGCTGTGGGTTTTTCTTAAATAGCTTTTATTATTTTGAGATACATTCCATCAATACCTAGTTGATTGTTTTCATTATGAAGGGGTGTTGAGTTTTGTTGAAGGCCTTTTCTGCATCTATTGTGGTAATCATGTGGTTGTTGTCATTGGTTCTGTTTATGTGATGGATTACGTTTATTGATTTGAGTATGTTGAACCAGCCCTGCATCCCAGGGATGAAGCCGACTTGATCATGGTGGATAAGCTTTTAAAAGTGCTGCTGGATTCAGTTTGCCAGTATTCTATTGAGGATTTTCGCATTGATGTTCATCACGGATATTGGCCTGAAATTTTTTTTTTGTTGTTGTGGCTCTGCCAGGTTTGGTATCAGGATGATGCTGGCCTCATAAAATGAATTAGGGAGGAGTCCCTCTTTTTCTATTGTTTGGAATAGTTTTAGAAGGAATGGTACCAGCTCCTCTTTGTACCTCTGGTAGAATTCGGCTACCAGAATCTGTCTGGTCCTGGGCTTTTTTTTTGGTTGGTAGAATATTAATCACTACCTCAATTTCAGAACTTGTTATTGGTCTATTCAGGGATTCAACTTCTTCCTGGTTTAGTCTTGGGAGGGTGTATGTGTCCAGGAATTTATCCATTTCTTCTAGATTTTCTAGTTTATTTGCGTAGAGGTGTTTATAGTATTATCTGGTGGTAGTTTGCATTTCTGTGGGATCAGTGGTGATATCCCCTTTATCATTTTTTATTGTGTCTATTTGATTCTTCTCTCTTTTCTTCTTTATTAGTCTGGCTAGTGGTCTACCTATTTTGTTAATCTTTTCAGAAAACTAACTCTTGGATTCATTGATTTTCTGAAGGGTTTTTCATGTCTCTATTTCCTTCAGTTCTGGTCTGATCTTAGTTATTTCTTGTCTTCTGCTAGCTTTTAAATTTGTTTGCTCTTGCTTCTCTAGTTCTTTTAATTGTGATGTTAGGGTGTTGATTTGAGACCTTTCCTGCTGTCTCATGTGGGCATTTTGTGCTATAAATTTCCCTCTAAACACTGCTTTAGCTGTGTCCTAGAGATTCTGTTCCATTGTATCTTTGTTCTCGTTGGTTTCAAAGAACTTATTTATTTCTGCCTTAATTTCCTTATTTACCTAGTAGTCATTCAGGAGCAGGTTGTTCAGTTTACATGTAGTTGTGTGGTTTTGAGTGAGTTTCTTAATTCTGAGTTCTAATTCGATTGCACTATGGTCTGAGAGACTGTTATGATTTCTGTTCTGTTGTATTGCTGAGGAGTGTCTTACTTCCAATTATGTGGTCAGTTTTAGAATAAGTGCTATGTGGTGCTGAGAAGAATGTATATTCTGTTGATTTGGGGTGGAGAGTTCTGTAGATGTCTATTAGGTCTACTTGGTCCAGAGCTGAGTTCAAGTCCTGAATATCCTTGTTAATTTTCTGTCTCATTGATCTGTCTAATATTGACAGTGGGGTGTTAAAGTCTCCCACTATAATTGTATTGGAGTCTAAGTCTCTTTGTAGGTCTCTAAGAGCTTACTTTATGAATCTGCGTGCTCTTGTATTGGGCACATACATATTTAGGATAGTTAGCTCTTCTTGTTGCATTGATCCCTTTACCATTATGTAATGCCCTTTTTTGTCTCTTTTGATCTTTATTGTTTTAAAGTTGGTTTTGTCAGAGACTAGGATTGCAACCCCTGATTTTTTTTTTTTTTTGCTTTCCATTTGCTTGATAAATCCTCTGTCCCTTTATTTTGAGCCTTTGGGTGTTTTTGCACATGAGATGGGTCTCCTGAATTCAGCACACTGATGGGTCTTGACTCTTTATCCAATTTTCCAGTCTGTGTCTTTTCACTGGGGCATTTAACCCATTTACATTTAGGCTTAATATTGTTATATGTGAATTTGATCCTGTCATTATGATGCTAGCTGTTATTTTGCCCATTAGTTGATGCAGTTTCTTCATAGTGTCTATGGTCTTTACATTTTGGGATGTTTTTGCAGTGGCTGATACCGGTTTTTCCTTTCCATATTTAGTGCTTCCTTCAGGAGCTCTTGTAAGGCAGGCCTGGTGGTGACATCCCTCAGCATTTGCTTGTATGTAAAGGATTTTATTTCTCCTTCACTTATGAAGCTTACTTTGGCTGGACATGAAATTGAAAATTCTTTTAAGAAGTTGAATATTGGCCCCTACTCTCTTCTGGCTTGTAGGGTTTCTGCAGAGAGATCTGCTGTTGGTTTGATGGGCTTCCCTTGTCGGTAACCCAAGCTTTCTCTCTGGCTGCCCTTACCAGTTTTTCCTTCTTTTCAACCTTGGTGAAGCTGAAAGTTATGTGTCTTGGGGCTGCTCTTCTAGAGGAGTATCTTTGTGGTGTTCTCTGTATTTCCTGAATTTGCATGTTGGCCTGTCTTGCTGGGTTGGGGGAAGTTCTCCTGGGTGATATCCTGAAGTGTGTTTTCCAAATTGGTTCCATTCTCCCCGTCACTTTCAGGTACACCAGTCAAACATAGGTTTGGTCTTTTCACATAGTCCCATGTTTTTTGGAGGATTTGTTCATTCCTTTTCATACTTTTGTCTCTAACCTTGCTTTCATGCTTCATTTCATTAAGTTTATCTTCAATCTCTGATATCCTTTCTTCCACTTGACTGATTTGGCTATTGATACTTGTGTATGTTTTATGGAAGTTCTTGTGCTGTGTTTTTCAGCTTCATCCAGTCATTTATGTTATTCTCTAAACTGGTTATTCTAGTTAGCATTTCCTGTAACCTTTTATCAAGTTTCTTAGCTTCCTTGCATTGGGTTAGAACATGCTCCTTTAGCTTGGAGGAGTTTGTTATTACCCACTTTCTGAAGGCTACTTCTGTTAATTCATCAAACTCATTCTCTGTCCAGTTTTGTTCCCGTGCTGATGAGGAGTTATGATCCTCTGGAGGGAAGAGGCATTCTGGTTTTTGGAATTTTCGACCTTTTTGCATGGGTTTTTCCTCATCTTCATGGATTTATTTACCTTTGGTCGTTGATGTTGGTGACCTTTGGATGAGGTTTTTGCGTGGTCGTCCTTTTTGTTGATGTTGATGCTATTGCTTTCTGTTTGTTACTTTTCCTTCTAACAGTCATGCCCCTCTTCTGCAGGTCTGTTGGAGTTTGCTGGAGGTCCACTTCAGACCGTGTTTGACTGGGTATCACCAGTGGAGCATGCAGAACTGCAAAGATTGCTGCCTGCTCCTTCCTCTGGAAGCTTCATCCCAGAGGGGCACCCGCCAGATGCCAGCCAGAGCTTTCCTGTATGAGATGTCTGTCGACCACTGCTGGGAGGTGTCTCCCAGTCAGGAGGCATGGGGGTCAGGGACCCACTTGAGGAGGCAGTTTGTCCTTTAGCATAACTCAAGCACTGTGCTGGGAGATCCACTGCTCTCTTCAGAGCCGGCAGGCAGGAATGTTTAAATCTACTGTAGCTGTGCCTACAGGTGCCCCTTCTCCCAGGTGCTCTCTCCCAGGGAGATGGGAATTTTATCTATAAGCCCCTGACTGGGGCTGCTGCCTTTCTTTCAGAGATGCCCTGCCCAGAGAGGAGGAATCTAGAGAGGCAGTCTGGTTACAGAGACTTTGTGGCACTACGGTGGGCTCTGCCCAGTCCGAACTTCCCGGGAGCTTTGTTTACACTGTGAGGGGAAAACCGCATACTCAAGCCTCAGTAATGGTGGATGCCCCTCCCCCACCAAGCTTGAGCATCCCAGATCAACTTCAGTCTGCTGTGCTGGCAGCGAGAATTTCAAGCCAGTGGATTTTGGCTTGCTAGGCTCTATGGGGGTGGGATCCACTGAGCTAGACCACTTGGCTTCCTGGCTTTGGGCCCCTTTCCAGGGGAGTGAATGGTTCTGTCTTGCTGGCATTCTAGGTGCCACTGGAGTATGAAAAAAAAACTCCTGCAGCTAGCTCAGTGTCTACCCAAATGGCCGCCCAGTTTTGTAGTTGAAACCCAGGGTCCTGGTGGTATAGACACCCCAGGGAATCTCCTGGTCTGTGGGTTGTGAAGACCATGGGAAAAGCATAGTATCTGGGCTAGATAGCACCGTCCCTCATGGCACAGTCCCTTGTGGCTTCCCTTGGCTAGGGGAGGGAGTTCCTCAACCCCTTGAGCTTCCTGGGTGAGGTGACGCCCCACCCTGATTCTGCTCACCCACTGTGGGCTGCACCCACTGTCTAACCAGTCCCAATGAGATGAACCAGGTACCTCCATTGTAAATGCAGAAATGCCCTGCCTTCTGTGTTGGTCTCACTGGGAGCTGCAGATTGGAGCTGTTCCTATTCAACCCTCTTGCCCAGGAATATTGAGATGTTCTATGTCTTGACTGGGCTGTTAGTCACATGGCTGTATCTATTTGGCAAAGCTCGTTGAATTGTACCTGTTAAGAACTATTCATCTTATATGTAAACTTTACCTCCAAAATGTATAAAGCACAAAAGAATAGATGAAACAGAAGAGACATGATTCCCAAGTAGAGGTGTCTGTCCCCAAAGCCTGACTTCTGCCTACTGTTTGGATAGAAAGCTCCTCTGTGTACAGCTAGTCACAGGTGGTGGCCAGGTGCGCCGCCAACATTAGGGGGATGTTCACAGGTAGGGGAGCCATCGAGGAGGAAGCCAGTTGAGCTGGTTCACCTGAGCCCCTGACCTGGGCCATGCTGAACTAGCCCCACAAGTGAGGATGAATTAGATGGAACCACCGCCTGGAGCAGTTTCCAGCCCGGGGATGCTGTCAGTATAACAGAGGTGGACCACAGGGAACAGCTTCAGTTGATATGGGACTCCAGTCCTTGAATAAGGTATGGGGTGGGGTGCATAACCAATAAAGGAAAAAGGGGATCCTAGTTTCGGAGGAATAGGGGTCCCAGGGACATAAGAAATACACAGTCCCAGCCGGAGGGAATAAGGATGGAATTCAACTACTGCACGTGGAGTAGAAGGTAGGAATGTGGTTTTCAATGGAAGCCAGAAGAATAGGAATGACACTTTGGCCCAAAGCGAGAGCTGGATTATCAGAAAGTCTGACTTCAGCTGAGTCTCCAGAGCACAGAGCCAGTGTGGTATAGCGTGGCTCTGTTGCCTGCTAGTGTGTGACCTTGGGCTGGTTACCCAACATCTCTGCTCCTCAGTATCCTCCAGTGGAAATAATGACAGTACATACCTCAGCACAGTGTTCTGAGGATTAATTTATTTTATATGTCAAGCCGTTAGACCAGTGCCAGCATCACAGTTGTTGTTATGTTATCACAAGTGTTGTTAAGTTAGGACCCTTAAACTGACACTAACTGAAGACATAGTTGGTTGCTAGCCCTGGTCAAGGGTCCATTTGTGGGTTAAGTAGCTCCAAATGTGAGTTGTGGGGGTTGCAGATGCAACAGGACTTGGTGAGAATTAATGAAAAAAAAGAACAAATTTGGCTATCCCATTTCATGGGATAATATATCAAGGCCTCAGGAGGTTAACACTGGTCTGAGATGGCACAGCTAGTTAGTGGAAGACCCGGGGCTACCTGTCAGTTCTTCTGCTCCCCGTCAGAGCTTCTCCCATCAGCTCAGAAACTGCCATCCTCCCTAGCCCTTTGGACTCATTAACTGACCCTGTACAGAGTTAACCTTGATCAGGAATGAGGGCTGCCCCTCTGATCTTCAGTTTGTATTGTGTAGAGCATCTTGCCCGGCACTTTGCTGGTGGTTTGGCAACGTCCTCATTACATTCTGGCTTGTGTTTATGTCAGAGGCACCTGTCACCATGTCACCTTGGCGCCTTGATCACATATTTACCTGTCAGATCCACAAGCTCAGGGGCTGACAGTCTGCCATTTTTACAGAACACACCATTCTTCGTGGTGAGTCTCTGATCCTGACCCCAATCTTTCCTTTGTTCTTTGTGTTTCTACACCTGGAAGTGTCAATATCTGCAGCAAGTCCCACTTCTTGTGCCCCCTGCCCTCTCTCCCCTAGAAAGAAAGATGGATAAGACCCAGGAGAAAGATCTCTGGCTATAACTAGTGTGGGAAGGGACAGGGAGCCTCAGCCCTGGGAAGCTGGACAAGGCAGATCTGTGTGGAGTGGTGGTGGCTGCAGCTGCTGTCTGCGTGGAGTCTTAGAGTTGGCAGCAGCTGTGGCCAGCAGTGGCTAGGAGAAGGGCTGGGGTTGCAGGCAGGGGGTGGTTGGCCAAGCTTCCCACATGCTCTAGCTGGGAGGGTACTCAGGAGGTGTCTCTGAGTAGCCTTCCTGATTCCTTCTTCCAAGCAAGAAAAGAAACCAAGGGGAGCTTATTCTGATCATTTCACTCAGGCAGTCATGGTTTAGTTGTTGGTTTGTTTCCTAAAATCATTCACTCGCTCACTCATTCATGTATTCAACAATGTGTTAATAAAGTAGCTATTTGTTTAGCATCCAGGAACCAGAAGAAAATTAAGTTTTGGCTTTACCGGGCAAGTTAAAATGGAGACAGAAAAATATTAAGTGTGGGGAGTGAACCCAGATTTTAATAACATTAAATTCTCCTTTTAAGTCTATTTCTTGATACATAATCAATAAGATGCAGGACAACCATGTGTGGTGCTGCTACAGGAGCACCCAGTGAAGGTCGCCTTTGGCTCACAGAGATGTGCACTGTTGGCCAGGGTAGCTATGACACTCCTCTCTGCTGAACTTGCAGGAGGATACTCTTGGGGAAAATCGGCTTGGATCCTGAGAAAGTCTCTTGGTTACCTTCTGAGACTCTGGGAACCTTCCATCTCAATGGTCTGGGGGCCCTGGAAGTTGGGTAGATGTTGCACACATACCTGTAGCTATACCTAAGAAGAGGCTTCTACAAATGCCCAAGTGTTGACTGGCTGATGCCTAGCCTTTAAGCAGCGCAGCATTTGTGCTTCTGTCCAGGATACCAGTGCATGCTATGGCATGACTCATATCAGAATATTCTCGATCTCTCTAAGTCTGGGCTACATGCTGCTCTGCTGAGTACTGATAGGACATGAAAGGGTGAGTCTTACCATTGGTATGTGTGTCAAAACTCTCTGCCACCCTACTCAACTCCAAAATGTGCAAGGCCCAGGGCAAACCACATGTCCTGCCTGTTAGCCACCACTGGTATAGGTGGTGTATGTCATGTTTGGAAATGAATTAACAGAAGAGAAAAAATGTTATCAAGGATCCAAGAAAAAAATACCAAGAGAAATAGAAACATTAAGGAAGAAAATGGGTTGAGGTGAAAGCAGATTGAAAAGAAGATGGATGAAATAGGAATAAAACTGAAGGATCCCTTAATGCAATAGAATAAATAAAATTCATATGGCAGGTAGTAAAGCAGGAGTTAACACTGCTAACACTCCAGTTATTGATGAGAAGAACAAATTCTTCTTATATTCAGAGGGGAAAAAATAAAGAGATGAAGGTGATGGGAAGATAATGGGAATGGAGAAGGGAGAAGGAGATACAATGTAGGAATCATAAGTGTTGCTGATGAATAATCCAGAACAATTTATACAGAAAGAACAAAGTCAAAATGGAAGAAAATGTATATTGCAAATTGGCCTAAATACGCAGGCAAAATAAATTTAAAGGGAACGGCATCAACACACATCCTCGCTAAATTTTTGAATTGCAAAGATGGAAAAAAATAGAAACAAATAGTTTGACTATGTAGTTACAAAAATTAAAATTAAAATATCTTCCAGCTTCTCTGCAAATACAGGACAGTAGGGTAATTCTGTGGCCCAGACAGGGCTTCGTATTCATCAAACCATTTCCTTTTCTGTCTGGGAACACAGGAAGACATTTCCCAGCCCGCTGGCATGTAAGTGGCCCTGTAACTAGTTCTGTCTGATGATCTGAGGGCAGAAGCCACCCATGCCCCTTCTGGCCTGGCCCCTAAAATCTGCTATGAGATCTACTATTCTCCTCCTTTCTTCCTTTCATTTTCTCTGTTCATTGATCAGCCAGATGCTGAAGGCAGAGCAGAAGACCAGGTAAAAATGAAAAGAGCCTGGGTTCCTAAGTCTTGTCGCAGAAGGCTGCCTTCTGTTCCCCAAAATGGACTTTGACAAGTGTTAAGCCACTGCGATTCCGAGGTTGTTTGTTACCGCATGTAGCTTGCCTTCCTATAAAGAGCTACAGACTTTGAGGGAAAATAATCATGATTCAAGTATTTTTAAAATTTAGTCAGGCTATCAACACAAGAGAAACACAATTTCGGAAACATAAGAGTCCAGAATGTAGAACAATTCTATTTCCTTCTTGAGAAAAAGTACTGGAATATATTCCAGTTAATAGAGACACGTAAAGAATGAAGAATTTAAGCACAAGGAAGTTACCAAAGAAAAAGCTTGGGGCTGGGCACGGTGGCTCATGCCTGTAATGGCAGCACTTTGGGAGGTCGAGGCAGGCAGATCACTTGAGATCAGGAGTTCAAGACTAGCCTGACCAATGCGGCGACACTCCGTCTCTACTAAATATACAAAAATTAGCCAGGCATGGTGACGCGTGCCTGTAATTCCAGCTACTCCAGAGGCTGAGGCACGAGAATGGCTTGAACCCGGGAGGTGGAGGTTGCCAAGAGCCCAAATCACACTGCTGCACTCCAGCCTGGGTGACAGTGTGAGATTCTGTCTCCAAAACCAAACAAACAAATAAACAAAAAACCCAAAAAGCTTGTGTGGTAAGCACTGAGATCAGTTAACTATGGAGTAAAATCTAAATAATTCTTGTTAACATAGCTACAAAGTAAAATGGAAAGTAAAAAGTCATTCTCAAAAGTGAAAAAACAAAAAACACATTTTATTCCAAGAATGGGGTGAAAGAAGATTTGAAGGCATTAAAAGCATACTGGTTTCCTCATCTTACAGGGATAAGTTAATAGGTACTGTTTATTTTTGACATTGATTATTAGAAAAACAAAGCTCAAGAATTATTTTCTAAAACTCAGAAGGACCACTAAGAGTTTAAAATGTTTTCTACCATCCAGGCTGTAAGAGGGGAAAATACATGAAGAAAATAATTTATGTTCTCTCTACTAAATAGGAATTTTAAAAAGAAGGAAAATTACAACGTAAAAACAAGTCAAGAAAATCAGAAAAGTTGAGGAAGTTCCAGGGACAGAAATACTAAAATGAAGTGACAGTATTAAGTCTAGATGTAAAATTTATGACAAAAAAGTAAAAGGGTCAACCTTTCCATTGAAATACAAAGACTCTTAGATTAGGTCAAATAATAAATGTCAACTACATGCCATTTACAAGATATAAATCTAATCTACAGTGATCAACAGAAAACGATAAATAAAGGCTGGGTGAAAAATATCAGGAAAAGACATACAAATTGTAGTAGTGACAATATTAATATAACAACAATAGAATTTGAAGCACAGAGAGTATTATGTAATATTGATGAAATAAAAATCCAGAATAAAAATGTAGCAGTCATAAATGAAACAGTAGATGATGTCAAATCATTGAATATTAAAATATTTAAAGAGAAAGCATTAGAAAATATAAGGAGAAAATAACAAAAAATATTTGTGGAGGGATGGCAATATATTTTTCTCAGAACATAGCAGATGAGGTGGGCAAAAAATGAAGGTGTGAGGTATGTGGACAGTGGAATTAGTAACTTTTATTTGATAAAATGGATAACAAAGTTTAACTCTATGAAGACATCATAAACCTTCCTTTCAACTATTCTTAGAACAGTGAAAAAACTTAAAAGTTTAGTAAGTACTAAAAATCAGTGTTTATGTAGAACATGTTCACTGACCACAAATAAAGCATAGATAACAATAAAAAAAGTTTTAAATAAGGCAGATCTGAGATCTTAGAAACTAAAAACTTCTCAGCTTAATTGTTAGGTCAAAGAAGAAATGTAGACTATAAAGTAACAACAATAAGAATAGTTTATATAAAGGCTTTTATGGGGTAAAGTAAAAGCTATACAAAAGGGAAAATTCATAGGCTAAATGCTTGTATGATTACAATAAAATGAAATAATTAAAATATTTTAATAGGCAACAAAGAAACTGAACATAAAGGGAAAAAAACAGGAGAGCTATTCTTGAATTCAAATAGCAGTAGAAAGACCTAGAAAGTCTAACAGGAAAAAGGAAAAAACAAATACATTAGGTTGCTGCCACAGTAATTGTGGGTTTTGCCATTAAAAATAATGGCGATTATATAAAATTATAATAATATGACAATAAAAATACAAAATATTTAATACAATAATAATACAAATATTTAATACAAAAATAGAATAATACAAAACCTTAGATATTAGAAAGTGAACATAGCTGCAGATACTGAAAATACAGCATGTTTCATGATATTGACATATAATATTCTAAACTTTAAAAAAATTTTGATCACAGGACATAATTTTGTAGGAAGATATTAATCACCAAATTGACTTACAAATAGAAAACTCATATTGTTTGAAGAAATTGCAAGAAAAAATTGCTGAAGAATTACCTTTTGAAAAATGCTCATGGCTTCTTATAATTCAGTTGACTAAATTTCAAGAAACATAATTTTTAGGGAGAAATTAACAATTTCTAATCATATATAAAAGTGGAAAACTTTCAAAATCATTTTGTGAATCTAACATAATCCTATCATAAAAGAAAAGTAAATAATGGTTTAATTTCTTTTATGAAATGAGAATAAAAATCCTTAAATGCCATCCATTGCTATTAAGAAAAGAATACTATACCACATGCAGTTAGGCATTTCTCAAGAATGTAAGAACCACTTAATGTTAGGAATTCTATTAATACAATCCAGGAATAAGTGAGGCAGAGAAAATTTGAGTTGATGCCTCAGTGACATTTGATAAAATGCCATTTGTTTGTAAAATATCTTCATAAAAGTTTAATAAAACTTGATATAATATCGTTTATCACAAATGAAAAGTTCAATCTTACAGGTGATGGTGAAATACAAAAGGAATTATCATTAAACTTGGAAAAGCATAACGATACTGCAATACCACTGTCATCTAACAATGTTGTATACATTCTAGCTACACAACAATGAAGTGGATTAAAATGGACTATGGTATAACTATATAATGAAATACAATGCAGCAGTGGTGTTCACATGAGGTGACTGTGAGGTGGTTGTGTCCCCCATGGGAGATTTGGCAATGTCTAGAGACATTTTTGGTTGTAAAGATGAGGGTACTACAGGTATCTAGTGCATAGAGGGCAGGGATAATGCAGGGTATATTACAATGCCCAGGACCATCTGCCATAACAAGAGATATCTACCAGTGGGTACTCTTGAACAGCCATTAGCATCTGAGATTCAACCTGTGCAATATTGAGCTTGTACTATATGAAATGTACCACACTAAATATGTAATTTAATCTTATTTAATCCTCACATACCCTCTGTAAATCTAGTACCATCATTATACTCTTCTCACATACTAAGTCATTGAGACATGGCGAGATTTCTATAACTTGTTCAAGGTCACATAGATATTAATGATAGGGACAGATTTGAACCCAGGCATTCTGGCTTCTTTCTTTTTCTTTTTCCATTGTGCTAGCTTGCTGACATTAAGTGACCAAAGGAGGATTCAAAATTATACATGCACATCATGATTCATCCCAATTTTGTAAAACACTGTACATATTTAAATAAAAGTAAATATATCTTGGTTTTTAGTAGTAATCTTGCATGATGGGACTTCTAAAGTGTTTTAATGAACATGTATTATTTTGTAATCAGATAAAACAAAAATCCAGTAAGTCATATAAAAGGATCATTGGAGCTAAATGTATTTTGATATTCTCTTATAAAAATTCAAAGCCTAAATCGAGAATCATGCTGCCTCTGCATTTATATGCATCAGGAAAAAAAATCACCATTCAAGAACATGCACTAGAATCCCTTAGGGTGCAGAAATCCTGACTAAAACTGGTTGGCTTAAACAGAGAAATGAGTTGGTTCATGTGACTGAAAAGTCCTGGAGAAAGGAATGTGCTAGCTTCAGGCAAGGCTTGATCTTGTAGCACAAAATGTTTGACCCAGACCCAGTTTCTCTGTCTCTCTCTGCAGTGCCTGACTTTGCTTCCTTAGTGCTGGCTGTACTGGAAAAGCAAGTCTCTTGTCTGGCATCCCTTGCAGCCATCTAGACGTTTGCTCTGATTGGACCACCTTACATCACATGAATGTATGGATTGGCCTTGCCTTGGTTTTGGGTCTCACTTCTGGAACTTCCCTGGTGTCCTCTCATTCCCTAAATAGAAGATGGGGACATTCGGAAATGGAGCAATTTACATGCATTGGGGAAATGAATGGTGAAGATTGAACCAATGCAGGTCCACTACTTTAAGCGATGAGGGGAATAAGGCTCAATTGTATTAAATATCCACTTTGGTACATTTATTATCTAATAACAGACAACACATACACTGTGTTAAGAGTAAGGAGAGGTCCCTGAAGGATGCAGTTATAAGGGAAGGTTGCCTGGTAGGGATGGGACTAGAGGAAACTCTTCAGGGACAGATCAGAGTTGGACTGGCAGGCAGAGGAGGGATGCGTCTGGGTGTTTAAGTGTAACACAGCAAGGCTAGGCGGTGTGTAGGAGCAGTGCTTGCCTGGGACCTAGAACAGCCACAGCAAGGAGCTGCAGTGTGAGGAAAGGGCTTAGCATGAGAAGGCTGGCTGTCTAAATCTTGCTGCTGCAACCCCTTATCTCTAACTGGAGAAGAATACTCACGGGAAGCCATTGTGTGAAGGGTGTTCATACGCTAGTTGTTAATATTTTATATTGCAAAGCTCCTTTGTTTTTTCAGCCTCATTTTCCACATCTGTCAAATGGACAAAATAACATAACCACAGGATTGGCATGTTGATTAAATAAGATTGTCTCTTTGGGTCTGCTGTAAGCTGTCATTAGGAGAAACATATAGAAAAGGGGTTTTGGAATGAGCCCAGGACTAGATGCAGAGTGTAATAGGGAAGTGGGGCACACTTACGTTTTAAAAGTGAGAGGAATCCCTGGGTTCCCTCTTATCCCCAGATGCACTGCCCTGCCTTCCTGGGACCTCGAAGACCTCCCTGTTTCCCTATGAGACAGCTGACTCATGTGGCCATGAAGGTGGGGCTAGCAAGAGAAGACAGAAACTCTGGATGGCAGGGGAGCCCAGAGAGCTTCAGGGGAGGAGGGGCTGGGAGCGGCTGCATTCTGAGAAGGGGCAGGAGCTCCCAGGGAGGAGACAGAAGGACTTCTTGGGCTGAGTCTGCCAGAGACCATAAAAACCTCAATGTATGAAATTAGCTTCATTCTGTAAAATAGTTACATCAAGGCGGCTGTCAGGAAATCAATAGCATGCTGTAATTATGTCCATAAACATGCTGAAGAAGCAGGGGAGGTCAGTGGCAAAGGAAGGGGGTGGCCACTGCAAGGCCTTCGAAGACATGAGTCATGAAGCTGTGGGCAGTGGAGCCACCCCAGAGGGAGCCAGCTCCTCTCTTCTGCCACCGATTAATCCAGGGAGAAGGAAATTCAATTTGGCAAACATTTATTGAGCATTTACTTTAGTCCAGCCGCTGGGGGCAGCAGCAGTGGGCTAGGTATTGGGTTAGTGGGCCAACTCTCTTAATCCAAATCGTACTTTGCAAATATGCCAAGTGGGAAGTTACTGGAATTGACACAGCGCTAGTAAATATAGACCTTTTGGGGAACAAGAAGAGAGGAATTTGCCCACACTTCTTCATATTTGGATTTACAGATACAGCTGATTCTGCTCTGAGGATGGTGCTTGCAATTCCAGTGGCTGATATATGACCCACTTGCACTCAAAAGCTCTTCCTTTAAAATTCAAATACTATACATTTTGGAGAAGGACGGAAACTCACAATTTCTGAGCGCTCAACAGTTCTGTGCTTTACCTATATTATATCGTCTTCTCAAAAATATAAGTTGGGAATTTGAATCTCCCATTTTATAGATCAAAAAACAGGCTCAGTATAAAGAGGTGATATTTTCAACATTATGTTGATAGTAAGTGGAAATTTATGTATGATTCATACTTTAGTCTGAATTGCTTTAATTGTCACAGTGGTGATTAGGACAAGCTCCTGGCTGATACTGATTTTGCTCAGAAAATAAGAATGTTGGCAGTAGAGGTGTTTGTGTGTTGGCTGGGACTGGAGAGAGAAGGAAGAAGGTAAATTTGAGCTGGGGAAATAGGGGAGAAGGGCAGACAGTTCTGGATGAGCCTCGGGTGAATTGGCTGGACAGGGGGCAGGAATTGTGGCAGGGGGAGGAGAGGAGGTCATCGAGAAGGGGTGCACTGGTACTATTGCCCTCCAGCCTGGGGCGGGGTGAGGGGCTCAGGACATCCACATCCAGTGTCTGACTTGGACTAGCCGTGCCTGGTGAGACTTTCCTCTCACCTGTGTGATGGCCCGCTAGAGTATTCTAGACGAGACTTCTTTTCCAGAATTTCTCAGGAAATGCATGTGTTTTCCCAAATCTTGAGAAAAATCAGTTGAGAAACTGGGTAAATGGTGAAAAGCAATATAGGTCTCCTTCAAGAATGACCGAAGCTTAACAGTCAACATAAAGATGTTACTACTTTGAAAGAATCTGCTGAGATAAAGTAGAAACTCCTGACCGCAGGAGTTAAAGCTCAAGGTCTTAGTTTCCAGGACTTGGACAGGAGCAGGTGGGAGAGTAGCGGTCATTCTAGCCAGGTGCTTGGAGTCTTTGACATGTGAGAAGAGTGAGTTCATTGCCCTGTCTGCTGCTAGTGGTGAGTGCTTATTGCAGATAAAATAAATATTAGTAAGATGATACACATGGATAACTTTATACAGATTCTGTGGGTGGTGTTTCAGGAAATAATACATTTTGGAAGTGAAATAAGTCATTAAATTGGCAATTTCAGCATGTGAGTCTGTGTGGTGCTGTTAGGAGTGCTTGCTAGGAGATCCAAAAATTATTTCGTTACTACCCCAAAATGTTTATGGCTTGAATATTTGCTGTAAGTTACATTACAGTTATTTGCAAATGCTTTAACAGAAATGCAAAGAGAAGATTTGGATGTTGTGGGAATACTACACCATTAAAGCAGAAACTGATTTAAAAATCTAAATTAGCAGAAGCAGTAATGAATTCGAAGACAAAACCAAAGTCAGATCAAGCAGACAAAATGCTTTAGCCATTAAAAAAGGAAATGAGCTTATGTAAAGCATCATGGACCTTAATGCCAGCTTGAAGTCGCTTTTTGACACAATCTTATCAGCTTGAAAAACGTCAGTGCAAAATGAAAGAAATTTTCTGTCCAGAATATTTGTCACACGTACAAAAAGATCGAAACTTTTGGGTAGGGCAATTAATGCATTGTGTGTTTTAATGTTTCATTTTGAGAATTTAAATGAGCATTTAAATATTAAATATTGTGCTGTTATTTTTAAATTTTAAGTAACTTTTATTTGGCATTCGTTTTCTGCTAATATTCCCTTCCCTTCTTTTAATGTTTTTGATCATCAAACGTCTCTATCGGGGAGAGATCATTTTTACATATTGAAGTTTATACTCTTGAATTATATTGAATTATATAATCTTGAAGTATATACTTATTGCAGTATATGAGCTTGTCATAAAATATTTTTATAATAACAATAAACCATTTATGATGATAAAAAACATTTATGATGTTTTTAATAAAAACTTTTGTGATAACCTGAAAATGATTCACTGTTTATTATATTAACTCATTATTATTTAAAAACACGGAGATGAAGTGTTATGAAAAATAGGGAATAACTAATGAATGGAGGGGACTCCCAAGAATTACCATTAATTCTGATGTCTTGTTTTTAAATTGTGCAGATTACTGTCTGTTGGGAATTAGGAAACACTACCCAGGAGACTCGGGGCACCTATACCTATAATATTTCTCTCTTCTGCTGCTGGCCCTGACTCAAACCAACCATCACCATTGCAATATCAGAAAAGCAGACAGGCAAAGGGGAGGACTAGGCAAAGGGGAGGACTGGGCAAAGTATGAGATGCAATTTGGTGCTGCCGGTGCAAGTATTTATCATTAAAAAGAGCAGTTCTGACAACGGCCTTTAGAACTGGGTCAGCCTCAGATGTCTGGCTTCATCTGGCCTGAGAGTTGCTGAGTTTCCTATAGTCTACGTGTACCTGATTCAGTTTCTCAACTTCACAGCCCCGCCTGGGGTACCCTGGGGTCGGTCAGTCCTAGGCCGACATGCTGGGTGAAGTGACATTTCTGTGGCCCCTTCCTCCTGCCATGTTTGCCATGTCCTGGCATCTGTACATCCTCCCAGCCGCTTTTTGGAATGGGTTCCTATTCTCTGGATCCCCGGCCTAGCTTAGCGTCCAGTTCTTGGCGCTTTATTTTTTTTGTGGTCTTTTAGAAACATAATCAGAACTTGGTGGGATTAATTACAACAAGACTTTTTTTTTTTTTTAAACCAAATACCTACTAGGATTAATAACAGCTGATAAAGGAGCATAGGCCTTACTAGCTGATAGTGTTACAACACTTAACAATTATGCTCCTATAAAGCTGATAATAGCTTAACTGCTACAGGGGGTGGGGGTGTGGTGTCAGCTCCTCAATGGGGCCTTTAGAAGAATCTAAACCTGGGGATAAGTGGCAGAAGATGTTAGTCACCTATTCAGGTGCCATTCCACCTTCCTCCCACTAATGGAACCTAGATCTCATTCAAGAAATGAGGGCTTCATGGAGCTCTGCCTTTTTCAGAGGAAGAAAGCTGACCAGATGAAGCCAGTCAGTATAATCCCATTTCTTTGGCTGGGACTGATCAGGCATGAGTTAGTGGCCCTGCTGTAGTTCATGTTAAGTAAACGAAGTTTACTGGGTGGGGGGTGTCCGAAACCATCTTCATTGGTCTCATAAAATGGGGATATATTTTGTTTTCCTTCTGATTCAGCTATGTAAGGAAGAGATGCCTGGAGCCATGCACTGCAGCCATTGTGTGTCCTAGAGGGGAGCTGTCACCTTGCCAGGTTGCAGAGCAGAAAGTTGGGAAGAACTTGAGGTCTGAATGACCTCTTTGCATGACTTTATTGACAGCCTGGAGCTACTCCATCTCTACATAGAGACTTCTATGTTTCAGATAGCATTGAGCACTTCTGCCTGTCTCTTGCACTTGGCAGTGAAAAGCATCTCAGATATAGATAGCCTTTGCCCTACCATGAGGTGAGTTTTGTGGTATAACATGCAGAAGGACTTTTGAAAAGTTAAAAAGTCTATAAGTTGAAGCTATTTATCTTTATCCCTCCCCCCAAACACACACATAATACCAAATGGTGCAACTCTATGCCTTGAGACTGGTTAGACAGGGAAATATTGGGAGGCAGGAGATCTTACCAAGGTCTCTCAATCCACACCCCATAGCCGGCTGGCTGCTTTGACATCCTATGAGGCTGACTCAACCCTCATTGGAAAGAGTGCAGCAAGAGGAGATAGCTCGTGATGGTTGCCAGACCTGGCTTTAGGTTTATCTCTGCAAATAATTTGCCGTGAGACCCCAGACAAGTTAAGCATCCTCTCTGAGCCGCAGATGCCTCTCTTAGAACCTGGAGGTCATAGCCTACGTCTCTCTCAGGATCCTTTCCAGGATCAAATAAGCAAGCGTGTAGTTTTCAAACTACAATCCTGGAAAGTGATGATGATGTTCATGATAATAGTGATAAAGATGACTTTGTTCCATCTGGCTGTCAGTATAATTCTAAAAATAATGAAAATTGGAGAGAGCAGCCGGTGGACAGAAAAGGGTCGCAGAACAGGTGGGAAATCTGTGAACCCTGAGGTCTGAAACCTACCAGGAGGTCAATTTCCATGTAGGCGAGAAGAGCATTCAGAGAAAATGTGGGTTGCCATCTCCTTAATGCAGACACCATGAGCCTCCCGGGAGTCGATCTGTGCCTTCCTTATTCTGTTCTGACACATTTAGAAGAGTTTCCATTCAAATGGGCTTTCTCCATTTCTGAGCCTCACTTTCCTGGGGCCGCCTGTGTGCCATGTGCAGCCAAGCACTGAGCTCCGGCAGTGTCTTCTTTTACTGCGTTCTCTGAGAACACCCAGACGTGGCAATTCTTTTCTTACAAATGGACCTCTTTACACAAAATTAATGAGTTTGTTTATGGACATAAATCAACATCTTGTAAATTGAGTCATATCGTAAGTGCAGCAGGAGAGCTGTTTAGCTATAGGAATCCTGTGAGGACTTCTTAGGTACATCAGCTGAGTGGGTGAAGAATAAAGGTTTGAGTCTGGCTGAATCTGATCCTCCAATAGAGTGTGCTGTCTATCCACAACTTTCTCCTCTATTTCACCTTTGTGATCCTTCCCTCACCACCCCTGGGTGTTCTATGCATAGGCACACTGGTTCCTTATCATGTGGGATGTGGCCACATTCCAGCTTGGTGAACTCTTACTTAAACGTCAAGGTCCGTTCCAATTGTCCCCTTCCTTTAACTGTCCCCTGCTTTCCCTGCAGCTTTACTTGACTATTCCATTATTAGTAAATTGGTTTATCTTGATACCCAGATAATTTTAAGTGTGCCTTCACCATAGCACTCACCGCATTTGTAGAGGTATTTGTTCACTTGTCTGTCTCCCTCTGTTAGAGTATGAGTTTCTGAAGGGCAGGGATCATGTCTTAAGCATCTTTGTTATCACCTGCACTGGCACAATGCCCTGAATACAGAAAAAGTAATCAATAAACGTTTGTTGAATTAAATTGAATTTGTAAATTAGACTTGCTTAAGGGAGAGCACACCTGTATTCATTTCACAAAAGAATTCTTGGCTATATAAATTATTTTGCTAAAGAATCTCTTGAAAGGGTGAGCCCCCTGGTGTATGTGCAATAAGATGCAATTTCAAATAGGCCACGTTCCACATCGTGTGTTGCAGGAGTACATTTCCTGCTTAAAGTGGGACGCCCACATTCACATCCTCAGCCTGCAATCAGCACCTTGTTCACAAGTGACATTGATAGTTCATAGAATGATAGTTTTTTTTTTTCTTCAATCTCTGAGGAAAATCCCTGGGGGCATCCAGGGTACTGCCTGAGCTTCTGAAATGACCCTGCAGTCTGCTGAAGACATAGGGAGACAGCGTGAAGGCCGGTTCTCTCAAGGAGGAGCACTCATCTGGGTTCCCATCTCCCATCAGCCTTCATGATAGTCCATTTCAGTTCCGCCCAGGAATTGTCCATCTGTCATCACTCATTAAAGATGTTTGTAAGGAATTGCAAAATATTGAAGCTGATGCTTTTTTTGGCACTAATATTGCTATTAATATTGATATCCTTGTAATGCCAATGTCATATTAATCGTGCTTCTTGCAGGCTCCTTCGACGTTGTTCTCTTCACTTTAATGTTTTCTAGTCTTGCCCTGCAGCTTATTTTTAAGGATTTAAAAAAGTTATTGATCACACAATAAAAGGGAGCAAGAAATCAAACCTGGCCTTTACATGGCTCTAACACAGTGTGTGTTGGAATGGGCATTCTTTAAATGCTGTGGGATAGCTTCCTTCTTTGAGCAAGATGGGCATGGTGGATCTTTAATCACTCATTTACCCCTGGAAACGTCTTGAATGCTGTCTGTCGCTCAGGTACCATGGGAGGTGCTGGAGCCCCAGAAGGGAAGAGTCAGGGTCCTGCCCTCAGATGGTCATAGTCTGGCAGGAGACACACACTCAGGAAATAGCTCAGCAGTGAGAGGTGCTTCGAGGGGATGCTGTCTTGGTCTGTTTGTGTTGCTATGAAGGAATACTTGAGGCTGGGTAATTGATAAAGGAAACAGGTTTATTTGGTTCATGATCTTGCAGGGTATTCAAGATGCATGGCTCCAGCATCTGCTTCTGGTGGGGGCTTCAGACTGCTTCCACTCAAGGTGGGAGGTGAAGGGGTGCTGGTGTGTGCAGAGATCACATGGAGAGAGAGGAAGCAAGAGAGAACAAGAAGGGGAGTGCAAGGATTTTTTTTTTTTTTTTTTTTTGAGATGGAGTTTTGCTCTTGTTGCCCAGGCTGGAGTGCAATGGCGCTATCTCGGCTCACCGCAACCTCCGCCTCCCAGGTTCAAGCAGTTCTCCTGCCTCAGCCTCGCGAGTAGCTGGGATTACAGGCATGCACCACCATGCCCAGCTAATTTTTTGTATTTTTAGTAGAGACGGGCTTTCTCCATGTTGAGGCTGGTCTCGAACTCCTGACCTCATGTGATCCGCCCGCCTCAGCCTCCCAAAGTGCTAGGATCACAGGCGTGAGCCACCGTGCCTGGCTGCAAGGATCTTTTTAACAATCAGCCCTTTTAACAACCAATAATAGAGCAGAACTCGCTTCCCTGGCCCCCTCCTGCCTCAGGGAGGGCATTAATCTATTCATGAGGGATCCACTCTTATGACCTGAACACCTATCATTAGGCCTCACATCTAACACTGGAGATCAAATTTCAACATGGGATTTGGAGGGGACAAACCATATAGATGTAAAAGCAGCATCAAGAAGGCCGCCTCTCCTGGCCTGATACAGGAGGCTCAGGAGAGCCTCCCTAGAGTTGCTGACAGCAGAGATGCGTTTTGCTTTAAGCTGAATTTTGTCCCCCCTCATGTTTCTATGTCAGAGTCTTAACCTCCAGTACCTTGGAATGTGACTGTGTTTGAGGACAGGGTCTTTAAAGGATGACTAAGTTAAAATACGGCTACTGTGCTGGGCCCTATGCAATAGGACTGGTGTCTTTACAAGAAGAGGAGAGCAGGACAGGGACATGCACAGAGGGATGACCATGGAATACACATCTACACCCCAAAGGAGGAGGGCTCAGATAACAACAACCTTGCCAACACCCTAATCTGAACTCCCAGCCTCCAGAATTGTGAGAAAATAAATAGATGTTGTTGAAGCCCCCAGTCCATGGTACTTTGTTATGGCAGCCTTAGTAGACTCATCTAGGCCTTAAGATAGACCCAAGTAGAGAACATCCACTAGGCTGTCCAGATCCTGGGATGATTTGGGAATTAGAACACATGGAGAGCATCTGGAACCTCTAAGGTGAATGTGGGAGAGCATATTAAGTGAGAAGAGGAGATGGGAACATGAACACGTCTTGAGAACAGGACTTCCCAGTCTTCTTTCTCTTTGCAAAACCCAGGCAAGGTATATAAACAGTCAAGGCTGGGCACGTTGGCTCACGCCTGTCATCCCAACACTTAGGGAGGCTGAGGCAGGTGGATCACTTGAGGTCAGGAGTTCAAGACAAGCCTGGCCAATATGGTGAAATTCCACCTCTACTAAAAATACAAAAAAAAAAAAAAAAAATTAGCTAGGCATGGTGGCACACAACTATAATCCCAGCTACTTGGGAGGCTGAGGCAGGAGAATTGCTTGAACCCAGGAGGCAGAGTTTGCAGTGAGCCCAGATCTTGCCACTGCACTCCAGCCTGTGCGACAGAGTAAGACTCCATCTCAAAACAACAACAACAAAAAGTCAAAAACTACTTTTAGAAGAAAAGTGTTGTGATAGTTCCAATTATTTGTGAGTAGCTTTGTGTTTATGAAGTACCTCCCTGTGTTTATCACATTCACCCTACACTTGGTGTACATAGAGATGTATTATTTATCACTCACATTTTATGAATGAGGAAACTTAAATTCAGAGGAGGCCCTTTGAGGCCCAGGTCCTCCTCACTGCAAAACTGTCTGTAGGAACAATTTCTGGTTGGGGGCCAGCAAGGGGCTAGGCCTGTGTGCATCAGATGACAGTGGAAGGAGCTACCTCTCCCCAAACTCTGCTGCTTCTGACTTCCCTATGCAGGGTGTGTGCACCCCGGTCTCCTGTAGGAACCTGAGCCTTTATTTTGCATAGAAGTGTTTAAGGGCTGACTTGCTCCATTGTTTCATGCAAGGGTGGGATTTTGTTTTGTTTCCTTTATTTTTGTAGACAAGAGTCTCGCTCTGTCACCCAGGCTAGAGTGCAGTGGTATGATCATAGGTCCCTGCAGCCTTGAACTCCTCAGCTCAACTGATCCTCCCATCTTAGCCTCCTGAGTAGCTGGGACCACAGGCAAGTGCCGCCATGCCTGGCTAATTTTTTTTTTTTAAGAGATGAGGGTCTTACTATGTTGCCCAGGTTGGTCTTGAACTCCTAGGCTCAAGTGATCCTCCTGCTTCAGCCTCCCAAAATACTGGGGTTACTGTTTTCTTTGTTCCAGCAGGTTCTTCTTTTTCCCAGCCACCTCATTTTAAGCTCTGACATCCCTCAAATGTGCCCTACATCCTCCCCAGCCAGGCCTTGGTCTTCTGCTCCTGGACATCCCGGCCTTCACTGACCACCGTCTGAACAGGTCCGAGCCCTGCTCTACCCTGTGCTTTGCTTGAGCTGCTCCCCCAGGCTCCAGCCAAAGCCAGTGGAGTCTTCCTCTGCTCAGCCTTTGCTTACTTGAGAAAGGGAAGGGGGAGGCACAGAGCAAAAGAAAAACTTCTGCAGCTTCAAGTTAAGACCCATGTCTCTACCCACAGAGCCTCTGCTGGTATTCCTCCCGAGCGTCCCGAAGGCAAATGTAACTTGCTTCCTTGCAAATAAGTTTTCCTGATAGACTACCCAGTCTAGGCTATGTGAGGAATTCTCCCTCTAGTCTAGGGGAAAAAAAACAGTGACTGCGTCCCTATTCCTTGAGAAATAATAACCTTGACCTTGTTTTGCTAAAGGCAAGTTCTCCTTTTATCCTGACCTGGATTTCACCACAAAATGTTCTTGTGTTAACCCTGGGGATGAATGTACCATGTGTGGAGATGTTCTCTGACCCTCAGATTTCTCTCCTGATAATGGAAGAGGAGATTTATATGTCCCTCTCCAACCCTCCATGGGGGCCTTATCCAAAAACCCCACTTCTCTCAATGAGCCTTGCAGTGAACACTCTGGATGGGGCAGGGCTCAGATATCCCCTTCATTTCACAAATGAGGGATTCCAGGCCTGGCCTGGGGAGGAGAACATGGCTGGCACTGCACTGGCTCTTCCGATGCAGTGACTGGCTGGGAGAGGCAGGGGTCAAGGTCAAAGCAGGAGCTAGATGTGCAGCCCTGACTCTCCAGCCAGCCTGTCCTGCCGAGCACTCCTTATGTCCTTCCTTAGGGCTTGCATGGGAATCTGCCCTCCCTGCCAGGCCTCCTGCTGCCACCTGCATCTCTAAGACCCAGGGCACCACCTCAGGGGCCCGGTGAGCATTCTCTTTGATCCATGATCCTCTGCCCTCCTGGTTCTCCCTCCTGGTTCCTGTGGGAGCAGCCCTATCTGGCCAGCCCAGCTGGAGTCTGTTTCATGTCCTGTAGCCCCTCAGGATGAAGAGTTTACATTGGTGTCTGGCTTCTTACTTCTCCGTGTCACATGGGGGAGGCAGGGCTGGAATTTCTCCCTCCACCAGGCAAATGGGGAAACAGAGATGCATGGGCTCTTGGTTTGTAAGGTCACAGCTTGCACCTTGGATAGGTTCCTGCGTTCTCTCATTTACACCTCCAGGTCTCTTGTCTAGGAACTGTGTGGTGTGGCCAAGCTGAGCCCCACACCCCAGCACTTATAGCTGTACCTGTCCCCAGCTCCTCCAGCTGGGCAGCTTCTCCTTGTTTCTTGGTGGCTGGGGGGGGCAGTTTCTGCTGAGCAGATGGCAGTCAGTGCCCCCTCATGCCTGCTCTCTCTTCCCTGGTGGGGAGATGAGGCTGCGATTCTCCTTCTAGCTGTTGTACTCAACTCTCTGCTTTCCCAATCTGATGGGCAGGTGGAAGACATTTTCCAGCTGGTGCCATTGGTGCGGGTGCTGAGCCAGCAACTGCAGGTTTGATTTGCAGCCCTCTCCACAGCCTGCATGAGAGGGCCTCTCCGCTTCTCCTGCCCTTTGGGGAAGGCTTTAGCCTGTGTGTCACTGTGTCTCCAGGCCTGTGTGTGTGGCCAGACTCTTTGCTTTGATCCCACTTCAGACTTCAGCTTTATTATTTTTCCAAGCACACTGATTATCCCCCTAATCATGCCAGGAAATGAAAAGCCACAGCCGCTTTCAGCTCAGTGGCCCTGTAGATCTCTGTTGTATTATGAATGTGAAAGTTGATTGAACCAGGGAAACAATTTGAAAGCAGAATTTCCAGAGTGACCTTCATAAGAGGAAGCCTCATCCAAGGTCTAGGGCAGCTCAGGCTGGCTGTGAGTGAGGAGCCACGATGGATGAGGGATTGCAGCATCTTGGCCCTGCCCAGCCTCTGCGGGTCTGGCTGGCACAGAATGACCCAGCTGGACCAGCCTCAAGACTCTGTCAGCCCAGATCTGGGTGCACAGAAGAGGAAACAGGCTGATTCTACAAAGACCAGCCCCAGAGTTCCGACCTCTGCAGCTTTAGGGGCTCCCTGCTTTGGCTCTGGCCTCCTCCCTCACCTGCCTGGTGATTCACATTTCTCCATAGCTGCTTTCCTCCTTCCTCAGGGTGGGGACTTCCTCTTATTCACATGTGTGTCCTAGATACGTGGTCTCTAGCACAACATAGGGGCTCCACACTTTTGCTGAACAGATGTCACCATTATAAGTCCAATAATGATGACGAAGTGGAGAATGTGTAAATAACATTGATTGTGTTCTGGATGTTTTAAATATCACTATGAATTTAATCTTCATCATCAATTTTATGGGAACCTAGGTTTGTTGTTTCTCTAGCCCCTCCTTTTTCAAATTCTAGTGATATCTCAACTATATCTTAACCAAGATCTAATTGCAGGGCAAATGAGGGATCTTGAATTTGCAGCAACAATCTCTGCCTGGGATTGAGTGCCGATTTCCCTTCTTTTCTTGTCTCGCCTTCCTCTCTGTTCCAACTTCCCTTCTTTCCCCTCCCCTTGCATCTCCAGCCTGCTCTGTGGTTTGCCTCCGTTCCTGATCCCCTAACAGCGGGTACTGGCTCAAGAGCTGCAGCGACTCCCCTGTCTCCGTGAGCCCCCAAGCCCACGCACACTGCTTCACGGCTTTCTCTGCTCTTTGTCACCCACCAGCAATACCTTTAATTTCATCATTTACCTCCTGCCTTCCCAATTGAATGTCATGAATATTGTTTTTGTTGATAGCTTGCTCATTTTAAAAAGGTGTATTTGCTATTCTGTGGGCTGGAGGTCATGGCCCAGGTGCACATAAAACAGCTTCTAAAATAAACATCACAAAGGCTATCCTTCCTCCCCAAGGCACTGGGGCTGCCAGGCAGAAATGGATGGGCACACCTCCCTGAGGGGCAAGGAGCAGGCCTTGAAGCAACTGTCGGGTTCACCGGGGATGGTCTAGAAGAGCTCACATAACCAGGCTTCCTCAAGGTGTCTTCCCAGCTATACAGCAGTAGCTTATTCAACAAACACATATTGAGCATGCATTGTATACAAGGATCTCTAGAGCCAACAGAAAAGAGAGTCCTAACCCTCAGGGTGCTGAGGATGTGGCTGGGAGAACAGGGAACATGATGACAGTTTTGACCTGCCAGGTGCTAGTCTGACTGCTTTATAGAGAGTCATTCACTGAGTCCTTGTAACAATCTAGCAGCTGGGTAGCATTAGTATCATCCTTCCCATCGTACAGATGAAAAGACAGGTCCAGCAAGGGTAAGCAAATTGCCCAAGGGTGCAAAGCCATTAAATGGCACAGCCAGGACCAAAATCCAGCCAGTGTGAAGCTAACTACACTCTGCCTCCTAGGTTATCCTGCCCCTGTGTGTGCTGCAGTGTGATGCTGGAAAAATACTAGCACCTGGGGGCGTTGGAGGAACATACACATATAAGGTGCAGTGAGAGTTCCTAAGAAAAGAGCTCTTCTGGGCTTGGGGAGGGCAGAAGAGGCTTCCTGGGGAAGATGGCACTGGATCTTTATGGAGGAGCAGGATTCGAAATGGTAGAGGAGAGAGGTAAGGGGAGGCAGGAAGAAGGAAAATATCAGGACATGGTTTCAGAGAGAGCATGCGATGGCAAGCGTGTGTGTGTGTGTGTGTGTGTGTGTGCGCGCATGTGTGTGCCTGTGTGCTGCCTGCTGGAAGTACAAGGGAAGGACAAGGATGCCATCCATCCAGTGTGTCCACTGGCATTTTATTGGTTAGAGGTCTGGGATGTGCAGAATCTTATTTGGTGAATCAGAGCTGGGCATACTGGGGCAGAGAGACTGGGGGGCAGCGATTACCCTTCAGCCCCACGGCAGACTTGTTGTGTGTTTCTGTTCCCCACCCTCTGCCCCCGCCCAGCTGCCTTTCTAAGCATAAGCTGCTTGCCTGGTGCAGACTGCCATTCTCAGTTTTCTTCAGCTGTCACGGTATTAAGTGTAAAACAACAACTACATATATTTATTTTATGTTATTTACAAACTGGAATGTTCAGCAGGAAAACAAATTGAGATTTCTGGGCAAAGAGGCAGCATCTGATGTTGGAGTGAGATTTCTCTCGATTCTGATTCACTTGCTCTGTGGCTGCGGGTGCCTTTGGAGGAGCCCAGAGGGGCTCTGCCTGGGGCAGGAGGGAAGGCTGTGAGGGACGGAGGGTGGCAGATGGAGACAGAGGTGGGTGGTGATGCCTTTAGTGTGGACTTTGCAGGATCCAACCACCTGGGTCAGGGACATACCATAGGTCCAGTTAGCAAACAGGGATGAACACTGATGATGCCCCTGTTGGCAGGTCTGGAATGCGCCATCTACTCTGCAGTACATGCGTGTGTGTGCCTGCTCTTTGGTGCCTACTCTTGCCATTTTTTCCTGAGGGATTCTGACCTCCCTTCTTCAGCGTGTATCAAGCAGAGTTCTCATTTTCCAAGTCTTTTTTGGTAGCTGTGGCCCCTTTCCCTGAGACAGGTCATTTCCCATTTTGTTGATGCAAAATCGTGTTACCGAAATCCCAGAATCAAGGTATCCATCTCCCCCATTCAGCAGTTGCTTATTTGTCCTGGGTTCCAAGCTCTCTTTGAGGGGCCGTGAGCCATGACGTTGATCTCTACTCAAGTTCCCCCCTCCAAGACCTCTTCTCTCCCAGGACTGGGCTCTCGACCTCTGCTCATCCACTCAGCAAATCTAGAACTTTGTGGAGTTCCTGGAAGAGAAACCCTTTATTTCATCTTGGAATTGAAGCAGAAAGAATGGACAGGTTTCAGCAGCCACATAGCCACGCTGAAGGAAGACTTTCTGGGCATGACCCCCAGACCATCATTCCCAAACCTGGACATGAGGAGGAGCAGGGTCCTGGTGCTGCCGCCCAAGCCTCTGGATGCATCTGGTGTGAAGCTAATCAATCCTCAGACCTCTCCATCGGGCGAGGTGATAGGTTCTATTTTTCTCCTTTCTGTCACGGTTTGTCACTTGCATCTGTGAAAGAGTTCTGAAGGCTGCAATGCTGACCACTGCTAGATGAATTGGACAGCAGAGTGGGGAGGAGGAAGGTGGCATAAAAGGAGGCCTGGAGGACAGGCCAGCCTGAGGCTGCTAAGGTGGAGGGCAGCCCCATGCCTGGACCCCTCACTATACTCTTTGTGATTTAGAGAAGGAGAGAGGAGAAAGCTGGTGTGAACCCAACTCCTCATTTTATGTCTATGAAAGTTGAGGTCCCGGGAGGAGCATGATTGATCGAGGACCACATAGTGGGTTGGTGGCGTATTCTTTATTCTGACCTGATAGTTCCAGGATACAGAGCTGTTGGGTTGGGAAACACACTGATGTGGTCATTTTTCTTGGAAGAAGCAGGCAGTAGGAAGGGAGACAGTGCTGGGAGTGGGGTTGGGGCAGTGGTTGAAGCCTGGAAAAGGAGAACTCAACATTTTCCAGGGTCCTAAATCAAAAGGTGCCCCTGCAGAGATTTACTTTTAAAACCAGCCACTGCCACCTCTATTTTTATCCTGTCACATTACTGCTGGCCCCATCTGGAGCTGGTCTGCTCCTCCTGGCCACTCATCCTTCCCTCAGAGCTGAGAGGAAAGGAGCTTCATTAGTGGCTGGGCGTGAGGGTGGCCCTGGCTGTGGCTCTGGGAGGAAATTGGCTGTGGGTTGGTGGCCAGGGAGGGCAGTGCCAGGCATGAGTGGGTCATCAGAGAGGGAGCAACTTGCACAACCTGAATGGCAATACCAAGCTTTGCTGAGATCAATACCAGGGTCATTCTCTCAGCATCACTCCCTAAGGAAGGCAGTTTCCTACATCCATGGTCTGCATTGTCTCTCTGATCCTCTGAAGAAAATGATCAAAGATATAAATACATACACATATGCCCCCTATATACACACAGGCACGCAAGCCACACAGACATGCATATATATACACACATGCATGTGCACACACATACACAGACACATGCACACATGCATGCATGTACATATACACATATGCACCTCTGCGTGTATATACACATATGCATTCATGTATGCATGCACACACTATACACATACATGCGTATATATACAGATACATGCATATACACAAACCCACACACATGCATATACACACATACATACAGAGAAGGGTGGGAAAACTCAACTTCAGGGCTGCCTTTTCTCTTCCCTCTCCCTCTAGGGAGCCCTCTCACAGGAATGAGTTACTGAGAGCCCCAGGGACCTGCTCAGCCAGGGCTCTGCCATGTGTACAGGAGGTTGGCAATTCATTCCTCCTGACGTTTCCAAACCTCTCCTGTTCAGTGTTTAGTGAAACGTTTTCTTTGCAGAACACCTTTTTATTTGCAGAGAGGAGGAATGAGTCCATGTGTCTGAAAGCCATGAGGAAGTTGAGGGGCACAGTTGTGGCTCTGCTACTCTTGCACCTTGGCCAAGTCACTGTCCTTCTCCAGGCCTTGGGTTTCTTATCAACAAACACTGGCTCTGCTGTGCTCGGTCGACCTTTAAGATTCTTGGCTTTGACTTCCTAGTCTCTTCTCTTGGTGCTGAGTTGATTTTCACAGCCGGGCTCCTCCCGGTGGCTCTCCTGGTCATCTGGCTGGCCTCAGCACTGCTGAAGGAATGCCCTCCCCGGAGATCTCAGGTGCATGGGGACTGGTGGCTGAGTGTTGACAGCTGCTCAGGGCATACCTGACAGGACGCTTTGCCAAGGGAAGAGTCCTTCAGGGCTGAGCCGTGACCGTGCAGGCTGAGGGTCCCTGGGGGGAGTAGGTGGAGGGGTTGCCTGGAGTCATTGAGATGGACACAGCAGAAGCAGCTGCCTCTGGAGTGGGGGCTTGTGAGTGGGTATGTGTGTTGATGAGGGTGAGGGGCGGAGAGTGTCCAACTTCATTGCTTCTGATTCTGAATCTTGCATAAATAAAATTCAGAATATTTCAGGTTAATGTTGTAAGTTGTCACATACGAGGGTTGTCAGATCTGAACTTTCTTTTGCAGCAACAGTAGCACGTGAGTATGTACACAGTTTTAATCTCCTCTCTCAAAAAGTTATTCACTCCTAAAAGTGGAGGCCAAGTTGGTGATAAATTGCTGACTCCTTCGACATGAATATTGTTCAATTATTCACAGATGTGTTTGGCCTGACAGAAGCCTCTGCTTCAGCACATTCCATGGGTAACCGAAGGCATTCATGCTAACGTAGAATCAGCTATCATTAGCACAGACTTTCTACAGCTTTCAACCACTCCAGCGTCGTCTTTCTTCACTCTATCATTTTCTCTTATGATTTAATTAGTGTGAGGCTGGAATCCTGGGCTCTTAATTTACCCAGGAAGTTGAACAAACTGAATTCTGCCACCTGCTGAATTTCCCAAGTGGGGCTGTCTGCTGTGTTCTTCACCCGCTAAGCGACAGGGTGGGACATTGGCTTTGAAGGTCTCCCACACCCAGCCTTTGGGGTGAGCAGCTTGGCCGTGGTAGGGTTCAGGATTTGGAACATAGGCTGCTTGCCCTAGGGTGTGGGCTCCAACCCTTCAATTTCCAGTTGGACTGATCTAAGGGATAGTTTTCTACCACCTGGAAGGCCCATCTGCCTTCATCCTCCTAGCCTGGGTTGTCCAGTGATCTCTTATCTAAAGAGGGGCAGGTGCCTTAGAGACCACCAAGAGCAATGGTTTTCAAGCTTTCTATTGTTGGCAGTGGAATGCTTTTCAAATGCAGTCTTGTGCAGGATGCCACCTGTCCATGAGAGACATGCAAAGTCACTCTGGTGGAAACAGGGGCAGAGCCACATGCTCACTTTTCTCCCCAGACACCCAAGACCCTCTCAGGAATCCCATTCTGAAATCCCTGATCAATCAAAGTGCAACTGAGAGAGGCTGCGACTTGGCCAAGGTCAGACAGCAGCTGCTGTCAGAGCTGCACCAGGATGCAAGCAGCTCGAGAGACTTCTCAATATTCTGTTCACTCAGCCCCTTCTTCCCCAGCTTTTCCCAAATGCCACCTTCTTCATTAAGCCTTTCTCAATACCTACAACTTGTTCTGCTCATTTTTTATTCAACAAGTATTTATTGAGCTATATGCTGGGCACTGTTTTATGTGCAGAAGAAGCAGCAGGAAACAAATCAGGTGAAAATCTTTGCTCTTCTGAAGCTTATATTCTAACGGGGAGAGAGAAACAATAAAGAAATGAATAATTAGATTATTTAGTGTATTAGGTAAGTGTTTGCTGAAAAAGCAAGTCAGGGAAAGGAATGACAGAGAATGGGGCTTGTAATTTGAAATAGGTGCTCTCTTATGTAACATCATATACATTTCTGTTAATTAGGATTAGAGACAAGTTCTGTTTAGAAATAACTCCAAGAACAGTTTTTATATTTTATTTTCACATTGGAAATCGGTCAGATTTGCTTCAGCCTCAAAGATTGTGTTTATGTAAAATTAAATGAGCACTGGCAGTGAGCTTCACCTTTTTTTTTTTTTTTTTTTCAAATGGGAAATGGGTTAAAGAGGAGAGGAGTAATATATGGCCAAAGAGATAATAGGACCAAATCACTCAGGACCATACAGGTCATTGTAAGAAACCTGGCCTTGCACTTGGGTGAATAGGGAAGCTACTGTATTGTTCTGAACCAAGGGATCACATGATCTGACTTGGTTTTTTTGTTTTGTTTTGTTTTAATTTTTTGTTTTTTAGATGGAGTCTTGCTCTGTGGCCAGGCTGGAGTGCAGTGGTGCAATCTTGGTTCACTGCAACCTTCAACTCCTTTGTTCAAGTGATTCTCCTGCCTCAGCCTCCGTGCCCAGCTAATTTTTGTATTTTTAGGAGAGACAGGGTTTCACCATATTGACCAGGCTGGTCTCGACTTCCTGACCTCGTAATCCACCCGCCTCAGCCTCCCAGAGTGCTGGGATTACAGGCGTGAGCCACTGCGCTTGGCCTTGGGTTTTAAAGGGATTCCATCTACTGCTGTGTTGAAAATTATAGGGGTGCAAGGGTGGAGGCAGGGAGACTAGTAAGGACACGGTGGCTGTAATCTAGGTGAGAGATGATCCTAATGTACACCTGTGTGGTAGTAAAGGTGGTGAGGAGTGTTTGCATTCTGAATTTATTTTGAGGCTAGAGTCAACAAAATCATCTAAAGGATTGGTTGTGAGGTGAGAGAGCAAAAGAACAGTCAAGGATGATTATAATGGTTTTAGCCTGAGGAAACAGAAAGATGTCATGACCCGAGATGGGGAAGACTAACGAAGGAGCAGGTTTAGGATCAGAGACTCAGTTTTGGAAAAGTTAACTTTAGGTGTTTGTTAGATGTGATGTGAAGATTCTTCTGTTCAGCGGTGAAGCTTCCAACCTTTTAACCCCCAAAACATTATCACAGTTTCCCAGAGGTACTTAATCATTTTCTATGCAGGGTTACAATTATGTATGCACATGTCTGACTATTGTTAGGACAATATAAGCATCCTGGGGTCGGGGACCTTGTTCATCCTGGTATCCTCCAGTGCTTTAGCACAGGGCTGGGCAGATGGTTTGTGCTTAATAAATGCTTGTTGTTATGAATTCCGCAAACATTTTGGAAAAGTTAGAGAGTTAGAAGAGCAGTATGATATAGCTTAATATCCCCCAAATTGTTTTCTTTTGAACATCGATCCCTTGAGATGTTCAATTATGAAACAGATCTCATAGTTAAATACATTTGGGAAATCCTATATTCTATACCCCTCTCTTTGAGCATCACATATCACAGTTCTTCCACACTAAAAGGGATTCAAAGAATCTTCCCAAATGTACTTTACTCTGTTCAAATCAATGTCTCCCAATCATATCTGACTACTTAACTTTTCTTCAAATTACACTATGATACCTTCTGTAACTAGGGTTCTATATGAACACACCATGTTGGGTGATGAAAATGTTGAGATCTGTTAGACAGAAAGAGTGCTGGCATTAGCAATCTGAAGACATAGGCTCAAACACCACAATGTGATCTTGGACAAATATTGTCAGCTGTCTGGGTTCAGTTTCCTCATCTAAGGGAATGAAACTGGTTGATTTATATGGCTATGGCTCTAATGTGAAACATGCACATTTTATACATGCCTTTCATTTGTGGTTCTCCATGTGGCAGGGCTGGGCTTTAGGACGTTAGTTTAGACACTGTGGTTTTTATTTAGTATCCTGTTTCTTCATACTGCTCACCCGAATGTCCTCTGAGTGTTCCTAGGGAAACTCCTGTTATCCCCTAGCCAACTAACCCCCCAATCCCCAACACTGATATGTGTCTCTCTCTTTAATTTCTATCCCTACCACTTTCCCTCTCTAGATAATGGGTTAGTCTCCAGAGCTCTCCTGCCTTGCCCTTGTCTCCCACAACCCTACATTTTCCAGTCTGGCCAAATGACAGCTAGCCAGTGTCTGCTGGGTTGTCAGAACACAATGGCTTGTATATTTCTCCTCCCTGGTAACTCCAATTTTGGCAGGCCCCTCTGCAGGTTAGTGCCTGGGTCCAAAGAAGTATGTATCTGATGGTAGGAATCTCAAGATTATGAGGCAGCTGTTACACAAGTGTGTCTTGCAATCCTTCATACCACACTAGAAAGAATATTAACTTCTTCATTTACTTGTAGGAGTCTTCTTGGTATGTTCAGAAATCTCGCAAATGAAGTCTATGGAGAGCAAGACAGATAAAAAAAATGTTCAGATGAACCCCCCATTATGTACAGCTAACCAATATATGTGGGATTTAAAATATGAGTCTTTTAGAAGTGTGACTAAGCTAGGGCAAAGTAAGTGATTTCCATAGAGGCTGGCATTTGTCCTTTGTGTCTTAAGTGTTACACATATAGGATATAGAGAAAAGGGCTACAATCTAAACAAAGTGAAAATACTCATGCATAAAGCTGAGGTCTTTCAGTGAGCGACCTGAAAAAGTTACCCACCCTACAGAGGGAGACAATGAGAAAACATAACTGTTGGCTCTAGGTAGAACAGAGTAAAAGAACATTTCTCCCCTGAGAACTTTTATCCACAAGCCTTCCCTCATGCTTTCATGCATATTTGGTGGTCTGTATTTGTTACATGTGTGACCTGAAAAATTACGTGCTGAAAATTTACTTTTAAGTTTGGTAATGCCCCTGGATATTTTGAAAAAAAAATATAAACACTCTTTGGAGGAAAACTCTAACCACAGGCTTGGAAAACTCCCACAGATAAAGATCCTAGGAACATAAGCTCACAATGAGAAACTGATAAGTACATGAGGACACAAACCACCATTAGTGAGAGTCAGCAGAAACAACCAACTGTACAATCAGAACCATGACTGCAGACGTTGGAACTAGCAGAAAGAGAATTCAATGCAAAGATGTTGAAGGAGTAAAAGAAGGGATTAAAACCCCTCAAGAGATTATACAAATTGATCAGGCAGGATTGAAAAGTAGCCAAATAGAACTTCTAAAAATAAGAAATGATTACAAATGAAGTTAAAATCTAGTGGACAGTTGAAGACAAGATTAGTGAAGTGAAAGATAGATCTGAAAAAGACCTGCAAAAGATGTTGAGAGTCATGGATGGTAGAATGAGAGAGTCCAGGATCTCTATCACTGGAATAGAAAAAGGAGAAAAAGAAGAGAAGAGATGCTACTCTGAGGTATATAATGACTGATAATTTTTCTAATTTGATAAAAGATACCAAGGCCTACATTGAGTAAATCCACACACAGATACACCACAGTGAAACTACAGGACATCAGAGACAGAGATCTTAAAGGTAGCCAGGAACAAAAGACAAATTACCCTAAAGGAATGAAAATTCGGTTGTGATAACTTCTCAACACCAACAATCAAACTCTGAACTTAGGGAAACGAGATTTTCACACTTTAGAGAGAATATGACTGTCAACATAATGAGATATAGGAGGCAGGACTCTACTCCAGAGGTGGGGCTTGGACACTGGACCAAATAGAGGACTAGCTAAAATGGGTCCAGGGCTGAAGTAGCTTTCCATAAGACATGCCCACCAGTGTGCCATGTCCGTTTACCATTGCCATGGCAACACCTAGAAGTTACCATGGCACCCCACCTGTTTCCATGGCAATGACCATGGCAACCCAAAAGTTGTGACCCTTCTCCTAGAAATTTACTCATAAACTGACCCTTAATTTGCATTTAATTAAAAGTGGGTATAAATATGAGTGCAGACCTGCCTCTGAGCTGCTACTCTAGGCATACTGCCTGTGGGGAGCCCTGCTCCACAAGGAGAAGTCCCTCTGCTGCTGCTGTGCACTACTGCTTCAATAAAAGTTGCTAACACCACTGGCTCACCCTTGAATTCTTTCTTGGGTGAAGCCCAGAACCCTCCCGGGCTAAGCCCCAATTTTGGGGCTTACCTGTCCCGCATCAACAGGACCCTATATCAAATGAAACTCCTTTCATGAACGAGGACAACAAAAAGAAATTTTCAGACAACCAGGCCTGGGGAGCATTTTTTGACAGCAGCCTTCTCTAAAGGAACAGCCAAGGATTTTTAATTTAGGAAGAAGGAAAATGATTTCAAAAGGAGGGTCTAAAATGCTAGTTAGATGGGTGAGCAAAGAAAATAATAGATTGGTAAATTGAAACAAACATTGACTGTATTAAACAATATTAATATACCTAATTTGTGGATTAAAATAGAACCATAATCCTGGACACTTACAAATAAGTCAGGATGGGAGTGGTTGAATTTAAAGCATTCTATGATCCCTGTTTTTTTTGAGAGAAGAGTAAAGATGATTTATGTAGCAGACAGCACTGTCCTCTTTCTCCTCATTTGCAGCTATGGTAGATACTAATATGTGACCTTGAACTCATGCTGAAAGCATCCAACCTGGACGCACCATGCTCCTTTCCTCTTCATGCTGAAAAGCCTTCTCCAAAGCCATGGGAGACCAACAGGCCCTTGTGCAAGTGCAGAATAGAGGTTTGGGGGATTATTGACCCTGTGGGGATCCCCAACTAATGAGGAATGGGAAGTGATAGATAACTGCTTGTACTTCCACATGGATAATTCTAGAAGTCATTCGTTCAGATGGGAAATTCTAGAAGTCATTTTTCATGTTTCTCAGAAAACCTGGCAGAATTCTGTCATGGCAGAAAACCTACCATTGCTCACAGTAGTGACCTTGATAATGACCCTTGCTAAGGGTTTTTCCTCTTGTTCCCACCATTCTGTCACTCCTTTGCTTTTTTGGTTGCCTGCCAAATATATTATCTGCCTTTAAGCCCTTGTATTAGATTCTGTTAATCAGGGAGCCCAAACTATGACAATTAACTTTTCACTTTAATAACTGTTAAACTTAAGCATAAAAATAAAGTGAATAACTTCCAAAACTAGTATAAGAAAAACTGGAATGGAAGGAGAACTAAATTAATCTAAAAGAAGGAAATGGTTTTTAAAAGTTGAAAATAAGATGGTAGAAGTAAACTCAAATGTATGAGAAATTGAAGGCCATATGAAAGGGCCAAATGCCCTGTTCAAAGGTAAAGAATGCCAAACTGGATTTAAAAAGCACAACAAAACAGAAATCCAGATATATGCTGTTTACAAAATACGTAGCAAAATCCAAGAATAGAGAAAGATTGAAATTAAAGGATAGGAAAAAATCATAACTAGATAAATGTTAAAGGAAAGCTAGTATAGTACATAAATCTCATATATAATAGCCTTTAAGGCCAAAAATATTTTTGGAGATAAAAAGCTCACTACAAATTAATAGCGTTTCAATATATACCAATTCTAAATTTGAATATATCTAACAATATAGCTTCAAAATATATAAAGCAAAAACTGATGCAACTATAAGGACAAATTGACAAATTTACAACCTAAGTGGGAGATTTTAACATCCTGCTCTCAATGAGTGACCCAGTGATTTTTTTTGATGTAGTCAAGCAGATCAGACAATGGCAGAGAAGATTTGAAAAACACATTTAACAAGTTTGACTTAAGAAACGTGTACAGAACACGCACAAACAATTGAAGAATACATATTCTTCTCAAGTGCACATAGAACATTTATAATAATTGATCAAGTATGAGGCTGTCTGCCTTTTAATGAATATAGTCTTATAAACCACATTCTTAGGCAACAACAAAATTATGCTATAAATGACTAAAAATGAAGAAAACAGAAATGAAAGAAGCTTTATGGTGAATATGTAATAAAAACATCATTGTGACAATCTTATAAATCAAATCTTGTGAGGGTTCAGCTTAATTGGTACCTACAAATAAAATTATGGCTTTAAGTGCTTATATTGTAAAGAAGAGGGGCTGAAAAGAAATGAGTTAAGCATCTTACCTTAAACAGTAGAAAGTAATAATAGAAAATACTCAAGGAAAGAAGTTAGGAAGTAGTAAAGACAAGGTCAGAAATTACAAAAATGAAAAACAGAGTTAATAGAAGGGAGCAATAGATAAAACTTGCTTCTTTGAAAATCATAATGAAATTGGCATATCTCTGCAAGTCTGATAAGGATATAATGAGAAAAAACAAGTAAATAGCAATTAGGATGAAAGAGACATAACTATGCACTGAGGCAGCAGAGATTAAAAAGTAATTAAAATAAAAACTCCATAACTTAAAAATTCAGACAATATGAATACATTCTTAGGAAAATAAAAATCCCTAAAATTGAATAAGAAATGATTTTATAGCCTTTAAGGTACTGATTCAATATTTTAAAACATCTCTTCGAAGAAGATACCAGGTACAGAATTCTAAATATTAGGTAAGCTTTTAGGGAACAAATAATTCCAAACTTACATAATATTTCAGGAAGTCAAAAAGAGGCCAGTGTATCTTCAAAATGAAAATTTAACAAAGTCAGTACAAGAAAGGGAAGTTACAGGGCAATTTAACAGTTTATTATTGATTAAACATCTGAAACAAAATATTAGCAAATTGAGTCTAAAATCAATGATAATATACTATGACCAAGTTCATATGATTACAGGAATATAACGTTAGTCCACCGTTTAATAGATAAATATTATTTGTCACAATAGTTAATTAAATAATATTTTTTATGATAAAAATTTTTAGCAAACAAAACAGAAGAAACTTCTTAGCCTGATACACTATTCTATCTGAAATCTATAGCCAAAATTTTATTCAGTGGTTAAATATAAAATTATCTCTATTTAAAGTTAGGAACAAGAAAGGATTCTTGCCACTATAATTTGTATTCAACAATATACTGGCAGTATTAGCCAATGCAATAAGACAAGAAAAAAAATCAAATATTCAAGAAGTAGAGTGGATGAAATCATATTATTAGCAGATAATCTACTAAAATGCTCAAAATAATGTACAAGAATCCTTAGAATTAATAAGATAATCTAACCAGTTTTCAGGTTTTGATTAATATAATTGTCAATTGTCCGTGTATACTGACACATGTATAAATCAGCTACATGCATAAATGCAATTTAAAATGCTATTTGTGGGAGGAAAATAAAATGTAATGTATCTAGAGATGATAAAAGCAAAGACTTATATAGTACTTACCATGGGCTATGCACTATTCGAAACACTTTACATATAAATAAAATAGTTTAGAATAGTACATGGCTCATGATAAGTGCTATATAAAGTCTTTGCTTTTATTATCCTAGATATATTTTGTTTATCACTACATTATATTTTTGATTTATATATTTTCTTTTGTGTTTGTGTATATATATTTATATACAGTATATATTTTACATATAGTATATATTACATATATTTATATATAATATATAAATATACAAAAATCCATGCATCCTTATAAGAACCCTATGAGGTAAGTACTATTAATTAGTTCCACTTACAGCTGAGGAAACTGAGACCCAAAGAGATCACGTAAGTTGTTCCATATTCCACAGTTAATAAATTGCAGAGTGGGAATTCAAACCCAGCATCTGTTTCTAGAATATGTGCTCTTAACTGCTATTCTATAATTTTCTTTTTGGAGAAAATTATGCCACTTTATTGAAAGACATCCAAAAGGTCTGAAAAAAATAGAGACTTACCATGATTGTAAATAAGATTATTTGAAATAACAATTCTTCCAAAATTAATATACATAGAATGGAGTTCCCATGAAAATCCTGACAGAATTTTCATGGAAACTGATAAGCTAATTTCAAAATTTATATGGAAAAGCCAAAGGTCAAGAAGAGCCAATGCATTCCTGAAAAGTAAGAATAAGAGGGGAGAGGGATAGTTGTCCTATCAGACAACAGCATAAAATGTTAATGGTCCAGAAATAAAGAGTGAGGCTTTGGCACAGGGATAGAAAAATAGACCAATGGAATGCAATTAAGAGCTTCTAAATCGACCCATGCATATGTGGACACTGACAGGTGAGAGTATATCAGTAGGGAAAAGATAGGCTCTTCAGAACATGATACTATTTATCCAGACTTAAAAAATATGAAAATGGATCCCTACTTTGTTCCATACACAAAAATTAATTCCAGATTGATAAAGTTCTTAAAAATGAAAGATAAAAGTTTAAGATTTTTAGCAGAAAATGTGAAAGAATATCTTGAAGACCTTAGGGTAGTTATTTCTTAAACATGCCACACACACAAAAACACCCTAACAATAAATAAAAGATTGCAAAATCAGAGTAAATTAAAATTAATAACATCTAGCTATTATATGACATCAGAGACTAGAAAGACAAGCCACAGACTGAGAGAAGAGATTTGCAACACATGTAACTGACACTGGCTCAGTGTCCAGAATCTAATAAAAAACTGTGAGTAAATACAGAAAAGACCAATGGCCCAAAAGAAAGTGGAACAAAAGAGATGAGTAGAACTTTCACCATTGAGAGCATGAATGGCCAATGAACATGTCAAAAGTTGTTCAGCTACTATAGTCATCTTGGAATCCACATTGCAATAATAATGTGATATAATTTCTTACTGTCTAGATAAACAATAATAAAAAGTCTCAAAATACCAAGTTAAGGATGTGGAAGTCAGTAAGGAGGTGGAACAAAGGAAACTTTTCTGCACTTTTGGTGGGAGTATAAACTGACACAGCCACTTTGAGAAACAACTGCATTATCCAGTAAAGTTGAAAATGTGAATACCCTGTGATCCAGCAACTCTGCTCATAGACACATAACTTAGAGAAATTCCTGCAATTATGCATCAGGAGAAAGACATAACAATGTTATCAGCAGCACTGTTCTTAATACTAGAAAGCTGGAAATAATGCAAATAATGCAACAGCAAGATAGAGAAATACATTTTTTGGTATAGTCACACAAGGGAATACTACACAGTGACACAAGGAGTATATTCTGCAAATACTTCCCAGGTTCCATAGTATAGTTTTGAGATTTCTTCATATTCAGCACTCAGCTGAATATGAAGTTGAATACAGCCAAGTGCTGAATATGAAGGAATCTCAAAA